>NC_000006.12:10666060-10817575 GCF_000001405.40 Homo sapiens | reverse complement strand
GTATAGTTTATTACTCAATAATAAAGCTGGCCTTGGGCATTATTGAGAAAATTATCTTGGTTGCTCTCCCAAGCATCTTGTGAAGGTTAATGAAAGAATGGAGAAAGGAATGAAGTTGCTTTCAAGAAAGGATCTAAAAAGCTCAGTCATTAGAATGCACAAGTCAGTGATAAGACTTGATGTGTTACCAATCCCAAGGAAATTCACAATTTTTAAATATGTGTGGGCAGAATCTGTAAAGGGAGAGCTTTGGTCTTCCGCCCTGGGCTTGGGGAGATAATGTTTTGGTGGTGGTTCTGGTCATGTCTGGGAGATTAACATCCATTTTGCCTGCTTTTAAAGTGAGAAATGTTCAACAACAAACTCTGAAATACTTAGAAATAATTTTCCGAAGTAATGATGTTGATTTCTCTTTGATTCTTACACACACACACACACACACACACTCTCGCTCAAGGTCTGAGGATGTTACTTGAATTATTCTTTAATCATATTTTTCCCTTTCTCAAAACATATTTATTGAATGCCTCTTATGTTCCAGGCCGAAATCATCATAACATTAATGTCAATTAAAATAAAAGTAAATTTCTGCCCCTCAAATCAGTTTTTACTTTTTCAGAGTCCCTTCTAGGCCTTCTATATAGACATGCACGCCTTTTTACTTAGTTGTAATTTTAGTGGGACAAAGTTTTTTATTTGATTAATTTACTTACAAGTATTTTTTATGTGGATACTTAGTCTTTATAGTTATAAATAATATATTCTGTTAAATGGCTATACTAAGCTTCACTTTTTGAACTATTTAAAATAAATAATTAGTGTGAAAATAGGTTGGTAATTATTGTATATAATATTGATGGAATTATTACCATTAAAGGTGATAATTATAAGGGTTATGAAAACGCTTGTAAGTGAAAAAACAAACCAAATTGTGTGTATGTGACTTTCATTCCTAATATAAAAGTTATGTATGCAGATGGATTAGGACTGGATTAGAATACTGAAAAATTAAAAGTTTCTTAATCAGGTGGTGGGATTATGGGTAATCTTAATTTTCAGCCTCTAATAAATTTTGTCCTTTAAAATATTGAAATGATATATACTTACATGAAATATCAAGATACCCTTGTTGAAGAAAAAAATGAAATACATGTAAATTCATGAAATATTAAATTTTCATCTATTTTTGAAATATATATAAATCTGGATGGATGTGGTAGTTCCTGCCTTTAATCCAGTACTTTGCGAGGCTGAGGTGGGAGGATCACTTGAGCCCAGGAATTTGAGACCAGCCTAGGCAACATAGTGAGACTCCATCTCTACAAAAAAATTAAAAAATTAGCCAGGTGTGGTGGCACACACCTGTAGTCCTAGCTACTTGGAGGCTGAGGTGAGAAGATTGCTTGAGCCCAGGAGGTTGAGGCCACCCATAATCCCAGCCACTCGGGAAGGTAAGACAGAAGAATTGCTTGAACCCAGGAGGCCAGCTAATTTTTGTATTTTTAGTAGAGACAGGGTTTCACTGCGTTGGCCAGGAGGGAGAGGTTGCAGTGAGCCAAGATTGCACCACTGCACTGCAGCCTGGGCAACAGAAGAAGACTCCATCTCAAACAAAAAAGAAAACATACATATATATATATATATATATATATATATATATATACTGTATAAAGCTACACTAATACAGTACCCATTAGTCAGATGTGGCTATTGAAGTCCTGAAATGTTTGCATTGAAGAGTGTTGTAAATGTAAAATAAATTGCACATCAGATTTTGAAAACTTGTTACAAAACAAATTTATTAATAATTTTTACTCCAAGCTTGATGGCTCATGCTTGTAATCTCAGCACTTTGAGAGGCCAAGGCGGGAGGATTGCTTGAGCCCCAGGAGTTTGAGACCAGCCTAGGCAACATAGCGAGACCATGTGTCTCTCTTTTTTTTCAGAGACAGGGTCTTGCTCTTTCACCTTGGCTGGAGGGCCAGAGTGCAGTGGTGCAAACATGGCTCACTGTAGCCTCGACCTCTTGGGCTCCAGCAATTCCCCTGCCTCGGTGCCCCAAGTAGCTGGGACTGCAGGCACGTGCCACCATGCCTGGCTAATTTTTGTATTTTTAGTAGAGACAGGGTCTCACCATGTTTCCCAGGCTGGTCTTGAACTCCTGAACTCAAGGGATCCACCTGCCTTGGCCTCCCAGAGTGCTGGGATTACAGGGGGGAGCCACCGCACCCAGCCCGCATCTCTTTTTCAAAAAATAAAAATTAAAAAGGTAAAATTTTAAAAATAAATAATTAAAAAAACATTGTTTTAGAGGCATAGTCTTGCTGTGTCACCCAAGCTGGAGTACAGTGGTACAGTCAGCTCATTTTTATACTGATTACATGTTGAAATAATATTTGGCATATATTAGGTTAAATTAAATATATTGTTAAAAATTAATTTTACCTGTTTGATTTATTTTAACATGGCTGCTAGAAAAATGATGTTAAGTACACAAGTGGCTCTCATATATATTTCTTTCTTTATTTTTTTTTTTTTTGAGATGGAGTCTCGCTCTTTCACCCAGGCTGGAGTGAAGTGGTGTAATCTCAGCTCACTGCAACCTCCACCCTCCGGGTTCAAGCGATTTTTCTGCCTCAGCCTCCTGAGTAGCTGGGATTACAGGCATGTGCCATCACGCCAGCTAATTTTTGTATTTGTAGTAGAGATGAGGTTTCACCATGTTGGCGAGGCTGCTCTCGAACTCCTGACCTCCACCCACCTTGGCCTCCCAAAGTGCTGGGATTACAGGCATGAGCCACCATGCCCAGCCGGCTCTTATATTTCTACTGGACAACACCAATATGCAGAATAGAACTGAAGCATTTATTTATATCTCTAAATTTATTTCCCCCCCGCTTTTTTTTTTGGAGGCAGGATCTCACTCTGTCACCAGGCTGGAGTGGAGTGGCACAGTCACAGCTCACTGCAGCCTCGAATTCCCAGGCTCAAGTGATCCTCCCACCTCAGCCTCTCCAGCAGCTGGACTACAGGCATGCGCTACCACACCTGGCTAATTTTTGTATTTTTTGTAGACACAAGGTTTCACCATGTTGCCCAGGCTGGTCTTGAACTCTTGGGCTTAAGCGATCCTCCCACCTTGGCCTCCCAAAGTGCTGGTATTATAGGCATTAGCCACCACATCCGGCCATCTCTCAAATTCTTCAAGCCTGCATAATACAGATTTGCATGCTTGGCTTATCTGTTAGTAATTCAGTTTTTCAACTTGCTTTGCTCTTCTTGGGACAGTTTAAAATTTAGCTATTTAGGCCAGGTGCAGTGGCTCATGCCCGTAATCCCAGCACTTTGGGAGGCCGAGGTGGGCAGATCGCCTGAGGTCAGGAGTTCAAGACCAGCCTGACCAACATGGCGAAACCCTGTCTCTACTAAAAATACAAAATTAGCCAGGCATCGTGGTGCATGCCTATAATCCCAGCTACTTGGGAGGCTGAAGCAGGAGAATCACTTGAACCCGGGAGGTGGAGGTTTCAGTGAGCCGAGATTGCGCCACTGCACTCCAGCCTGTGCAACAAAGAGTGAAACTCTGTCTCAAAAGAAAAAAAAAAATTAGCTATTTAATATGTGTGCAATATATTCAGTTTTGGATTTGAGTTTTTACCTCACATCAAAACAAAAAAAAATCTAATTTTCATGTTTTAAATGTGTGAGCTTTAAGAGTATAAATCTATAAATCATAGGTTTAACCAGTATCGTGAGGCCAGTAGAGGCTCCAAGGCAGGGGGAATATAAACCTTCTTTGGATTGGTTGGCTGGTTGCTTAACAGAATTATGTGACTGTTCATTTCTTTACAGAAACAAGTTGTTCCCTGAATCAGTCATCAGAAATATTATGTATCAAATATTGCAAGGGCTGGCTTTTATCCATAAACATGGTAGGTTTCTTTTAAGTTTAATTTCCCTACCTCTTTAGATTACTGTCCAGATTGTGCATACAAATTTATTAAACTGTTAAATAACTGTTATATTGGATAACTATGAATCTGGAGTATGTGCCTATACACACTGACATTTTTATTTAAAAACTTTATCAATTTCTGTGATTCTGTATAAAATGGAATTTCTGGCTGGCACGGTGGCTCACGTGTGTAATCTCAGCACTTTGGGAGGCCAAGGCAGGCGGATCACCTGAGGTCAAACGAGTTTGAGACCAGCCTGGCCAACATGGTGAAACCCTGTCTCTGTTAAAAAAAAATACAAAAATTAGCTGGGCGTGGTGGCGGGCGCCTGTAATCCCAGCTACTCAGGAGGTTGAGGCAGGAGAATTGCTTGAACCCCAGAGGTGGAGGTTGCAGTGAGCTGAGATCATGCCATTGCACTCCAGCCTGGGCAACAGAGTGAGACTCCATCTCAAAAAAAAAAAAAAAAAAAAAAAAAAAAAATTTATATATATATATATATATATATATATATATATATATATATATATATAAAAATACATAACATACATACATACCAGGCCGGACTCACACCTGTAATCCCAGCACTTTGGGAGGCCGAGGCGGGGGGGGGGATCACCTTAGGTCAGGAGTTCGAGACCAGCCTGGCCAACATGGTGAAACCCCATCTCTACTAAAAATGTAAAAAATTAGCCAGGCTTGGTGGCGCGCGCCTATAATCCCAGCTACTTGAGAGTCTGAGGCAGGAGAATCGCTTGAACGCAGGAGGCAGAGATTGCAGTGAGCTGATATTGTGGCATTGCACTCCAGCCTAGGCAAAAAGAACGAAGCTCCATCTCAAAAAATAAAAAAATAGAATTTCTATAATCTATAATTATCTTCCACCACAGCAGAATTTTTTAACAGTTTAATCATCATCAGCCTTTAGTCTCAGTCATCATATACCCATCTTGCAACCTCATTCTCCCTAATTTTATCGTGGAAATGAAAAAAAAAGGACCTTCTTTTGGAAAAGATTAGATTATTTTGATCTAGCATGACCAATTATTAACACTTAAATAGTTTGTAGCACCCACGGAGCAGTGTTTTATAGTTTTCCTTAGTTTTTACATTTAGTTGTTTCTATTCTGTGAATGAAATTAAAGCAAGTATTAATACTTGATCTATTTTCTATGAATTATGTACTTCAATTAATGTAGTTTTTCATATCTATCAAATCAAAATAATTATTAGTCCAAAAAGTTAATATGATTATTTTTTAAAAACATTTGTTTAGAATCACTAGATGTTTAGATACTAAATTAGAAAAGTTTGTCCCATACCATTGCTGTGTTCTGAACATAGGCACTGGAAAATCACCATTAGTTTCCCTTCATGTCTCATCCTGTATTTTATTTTATTGCTATTATTATTATTATTTGAGACAGGATCTCACTCTGATGCCCAGGCTGGAGTGCAGTGGTGCCATCATGGCTCACTGCAGCCTCCACTTCCTGGGCTCAGGTGATCCTCCCACCTCAGCCTCCCTAGTAGCTGGGACTACAGGCGCACGCTTCCACACCCAGCTAATTTTTTTCTTTTTTGTAGAGATGAGGTTTCGCCATTTTTCCCAGGCTGGTCTTGAACTCCTGGACTCAAGTGATCCTCCAACCTCAGCCTCCGGAAGTGCTGGGATTACAGGCAGGAGCCATCACACCCATCCTCCTCCTGTAGTTTATATTTTGTTTTTTTTATTTTCTTAACTGCTACAGGAATTATTTGCCTTCCAAAAATGCTATGCAGGATTCCATATAAATATTTTAAGAACACTTCTTAAACTTATAAAAAGGGTATGTTTAGAATGTTTTAAGAACATTAAAAAAAAACTTTTTATTTGCACCATATGTAAACTATTGGGGTCTTTTAAAAGTCTAAATCCTGTAATGATATACTACACTTTATTGGCAAACAGCAGTAATGTATTAATTATATGGAAATAAGGGACATCTGCTATTTTAATTATTCATAATGGATTCCTGATTTTTAATTGTTTTAAACTCTGGTCAGCATGGTAACACTTGACATTTGCCTGGGTTGATTTATGCTGTCAGCAACGTCTGAAGCATAAGGGATTGAAGGAGGAAGTTCGATTACGATTTAAAAATTGTGACTGAAAGAAATAACATGAATAATCAACAGTTGACTGTAGAGTTGGCTACATAGTAATTTGGGAAACCAGCCTATAAGGATGATTAGACGTTTTTACGAAAGCCACATAATTCTTGCTGCTAAGCATCTCAGATGTAATACTTCAAGAAATAGATATTTTAAAATAGTTGTTTGGCCGGGCGTGGTGGCTCACGCCTGCAATCCCAGCACTTTGGGAGGCCAAGGCAGGCGGATCACTTGAGGTGAGGAGTTCAAGAGCAGCCTGGCCAACGTGGTGAAAACCTATCTCTACCAAAAATACAAAAATTAGCTGGGTATCATGGCACATGCCTGTAATCCCAGCTACTTGGGACGCTGAGGCAGGAGAATTGCTTGAACCCGGGAGGCGGAGATTACAGTGAGCTGAGATCATGCCACTGCACTCCAGCCTGGGTGACAGAGCAAGACTCTGTCTCAAAAAATAAATAAATAAAATAAAATAGTTGCTGTCAAAAAAATGAAAATATTTAGTTCAAATAGGACTGAATTATTAATATATGTATATTAGGATGGGGAAAACCTCAGCTGTACAAATATGTAATTGGTTTAGTTCTCTAAGACTTTATGGATTAGTGTCACTCTGCTGTGCATCACATGGTCCCATTCCTGTCGTTACATTACAAAAGTATCTGAATGTCTCTTGGACATAGTGAAATGGATGTTACTTACTATTTAGAGTAAGAAGTACTGGATAAACTCAGATTACAAAACTGTTAAACAGATGTCACAAACAGAGCCCACTCTGGCTTTGAAGTGATTAAAAACATTTAGGCTTAAAAAGGCTTCCCAACCCCAGCTGGCCGTGGTGGCTCACACCTGTAATCCCAGCACTTTGGGAGGGTGAAGCAGGTGGATCACAAGGTCAGAAGTTTGAGACCACCCTGGCCAACATGGCAAAATCCAGTTTCTACTAAAAATACAAACAATTAGCCGAGTGTGGTGGCAGACGCCTGTAATCCCAGCTATTCCAGAGGCTGAGGCAGGAGAATCGCTTGAACCCAGGAGGCGGAGGTTGCAATGAGCCCAGATTGCGCCACTACACTCCAGAGCAAGACTCCGTCTCAAAACAAAAAAAAAAAAAAAAAAAGAAAAAGATAAAAGAAAGTCTTCCCAGCTCCAAAGCTACATGAAAACCCTCTTCAAGTGATCACCTGCAGTCTCCCTGCCTCCCAAGGCCTTTGGAACCCAAGCCATTTGGATATAACCAGAATGCTGTAGACTGCCCTTAGAAAAAGCCTCCCTTAAGACAAATCTCATCTGCCAGGAGGGCTTTAATGTTTGTTCTTTTCCCCCTGGGTTTTCTTTTTCTTTTCTTTCTTTTTTTTTTTTTTTTTTGAGACAGTGTCTTGCTCTGTTGCCCAGGCTGGAGTGCGGTGGCATGATCTCAGCTCACTGCAACCTCCGCCTCCCAGGTTCAAGTGATTCTTCTGCCTCAGCCTCCTGAGTAGCTGGGACTACAGGCGCACACCACCATGCCCGGCTAATTTTGGTATTTTTAGTATAGACGGGGTTTCATCATATTGGCCAGGCTGGTCTCAAACTCCTGACCTCATGATCCACCTACCTCGGCCTCCCAAAGTGCTGGGATTATAGGCGTGAGCCACCACGCCTGGCCCCCACTGGGCTTTCTGCCTCATTTTCTTTGGTTTCCCTTTTAGCTTCATAACCATTTATTTTATAGATTGAATTGCTAATATAAACATTATAATTATTGGGATTTTGCAACGACACAGCTATTGAGGAAAACTGAACATTAGATAAAATAATTTTAAATGAAGAAATTAGTTCTGATGTGTGGAGTTCCATTTTTATTGAATGGACTTTTTAAACAAGTGATTTTTCTCAAGAAGTCAGCTGCACTGACTCAAGCCTGATTAAAAAGTGCTCTTCTCAGCCTGGGTGACGTGGCAAAACCCTGTCTCTATCAAAAATACCAAAAATTAGGTGGGAGTGGTGGCATGCACCTGTGGTCCCAGCTACTTAGTGGGCCGAGAGGATTGCTTGAGCCGAGATCGAGCCACTACGCTCTGGCCTGGACAACAGAGCAAGACCTATCTTAAAAACAAAAACACTTCTCACACGTTAATTAGGTGACTTCACTCTGGCCCTCAACCTCCTCCTCTATTGCACAATAGTGATAACAGTACCTCCTTCAGGTTGTTGTGCAAATGAATGGAGATAATCATAGTGTGGTAATACCTAGCCCAGTGCCTGAACACCCACTGGAGTCACAAATAAAAATAAATGTTAAATGGGTGGTTATTTTTAATTATCTCATACACTGTGTGAACTTTCTTGCCAAAGCATTTTAAAAGCAGGGTCCCTACGCCCCATTTACTTCTTAGACAATAAATATGGTTTACTTTTTTCCTAAGATGATGTTTTGAATTATAAAAGAGGGGGTTCATTTATATTTTGTTTATAAATCAAATAAAGCTATGTTTAAACGTAATGATTTACTGTATTTTTTTTTCTCCGTATATCATCAAGGCTTTTTTCATAGGGACATGAAACCAGAAAACTTGCTTTGTATGGGTCCAGAGCTTGTGAAAATTGCTGATTTTGGACTTGCAAGAGAATTAAGGTCACAGCCACCATACACTGATTATGTATCTACCAGATGGTGAGTAGGGGTTATGCAGCCCTCCTGAGGCATAAGCCTATGGTGAAATTTTCCTACGATGGATTGTTACATATTTCTGGAAGTTCCATATTGAATATTTAAAACACAGAATTGAATTTTATATTCTTTAAAGAAAGCGAAGGATTGGTTTATTGCTATTCTGATCACTGAAAAAAAAAGGAAAAAGAATTTCATTTATTCACTCATTCATTCATTCAACAAATATTTATTGAACACCTACTATGTGCCAAACATCATTTTAGGCACAGAGAACACAGCAGTGAAATAAAAAAAGAAAAGAAAAATCTCTGCCTTATGCTGCTTACATGACAGCCAATAGACAGATAAACAAGTTAAAAATATTATGGATCACCAACAGAAAGACATACACGTGTTCACCAGAAGACATGAATCCTCTCTACTGCACGCCACCCAAACGTCCATGAACAGTAGCATCGTATACTCACCCAGTGGAATGCTTTGCAACAATGAGAACGAAGGGTCTATGACTGCATGCAGCAATGTGGACGAATCTTAGACAATGTTGAGATCAAGAGCCCAAAGAGAAAAAGAGCACATACCATATGATTTCATTTATGCAAAGTACAAAAAAAGAGAAAACTAATCTGTGCCATGAAAGTCAGGATAGCAAGCAGTTCTATGGGGTGGGGATGTGTGTAGTGCCTGGACTAGTGCACAAGGGGCCTTCTGGGTGCTGATAGCATGTCTTTCTTTTTTTTTTGAGATGGAGTTTCGCTCTCTCGCCCAGGCTGGAGTGCAATGGCGTGATCTCGGCTCACTGCAACCTCTGCCTCCCGGTTTCAAGTGATTCTCCTGCCTCAGCCTCCCGAGTAGCTGGGATTACAGGCACCCATCACCATGCCCAGCTAATTTTTGTATTTTTAGTAGAGACGTGGTTTCACCGTGTTAGCCAGGCTGGTCTCAAATTCCTGACCTCCGGTGATCCTCCCACCTTGGCCTCCTATGCATAGTGCTGGGATTACAGGCGTGAGCCACCGGGCCCGGCCGATAACATGTCTTTCTTGATCTGGGTGCTGGGTCTGTGGATGTGTTGTATTTGTGAAAATTCATCAAGCTCTACTCTTACAACACATGCCTCTGCCTGTGTGAATATTATACTCCAGTGAAAACAAGAACATATGTGTATCAGGCTGGGCATGGTGGCTCACGCCTGTAATCCCAGCACTTTGGGAGGCCGAGGTGGGGGATCACTTGAGACCAGGAGTTCGAGACCAGCCTGGCCAACATGGCTAAACCCCGTTTCTACTAAAAATACAAAATTAGCCGGGTGTGGTGTCACGCGCCTTGGTGCCAGTTACTTGGGAGGCTGAGGCATGAGAATCACTTGAACCTTGGGGGCAGAGGTTGCAGTGAGCCGAGATTGCGCCACTGAACTCCAGCCTGGGCAACAGAGCAAGACTCTTTCTCAAAAAAAAAAAAAAAAAAAAAAAAGGAATATATGTGTATCAGATGTTGATACATTATTATAAAGAAAAATAAAATAGGAAAGGGGGCAGGGAGTTGGGGGAGATGGGGAGAGAAAGGAATGTTACATGGAGGGTCTGACTGAGAGTAGCCCTGATGGAGATGCCAGGGCCAGCAGGATTTTTTTTAGGCAGAGTAAAAGCCTTGAGACAGGTGCACGCCACACGTGAATTCTGCACAGTGCAGAATGAATAAGGAGGGCAGTCGTAGGAAACAAGGGCAGAGTTTGTAGAGTGGCCAGAAATGATAGTGACTTGGACCTGCTGGCCATGCAGGTAGTGAGAAATGTGGGATTCTAATGAATCAGATGTGGGGGCTGAAAGAAAGGAGTCCGTGTCTTAGTGTGTTTTTTTGTGTTGCTGTAAAGGAACACCTGCGGCTGGGAAGTTGGTAAAGAAAGGAGGTTTATTTGGCTTCCAGTTCTGCAGGCTGTACAAGAAGCATGGCACTGGCATCCGCTTGGCTTCTGATGTGGGTTTTTATGCTGCATCAAAACATGGTGGAGAAGGTCAGGCCGGGCGTGGTGGCTCACACCTGAATCCCAGCACTGTGGGAGGCCAGGACGGGTGGATCACCTGAGGTCAGGAGTTCGAGACCAGCCTGGCCAACGTGGTGAAACCCAGTCTCTACTAAAAATACAAAAATTAGGCCGGGCACAGTGGCTCACGCCTGTAATCCCAGCACTTTGGGAATCCGAGGCAGGTGGATCACGAGGTCAGGAAATCAAGACCATTTTGGCTAACACAGTGAAACCCCGTCTCTACTAAATATACAAAAAAAAAAAAAAAAAAAAAAAAATTAGACGGGTGTGGTGGCGGGCACCTGTAGTCCCAGCTAGTCCCAGCTACTTGGGAGGCTGAGGCAGGAGAATGGCGTTAACCTGGGAGGCGGAGCTTGCAGTGAGCGAAGATCGCGCCACTGCACTCCAGCCTGGGTGACAGAGCAAGACTCTGTCTCAAAAACAAAAAAAATTAGCCAGGCATGGTGGCACATACTTGTAACTTGGGAGGCTGAGGCAGGAGAATCACTTGAACCCGGGAGGTGGAGGTTGCAGTGACCCGAGATCGCGCCATTGCACTCCAGCCTGGGCAACAAGAGCAAAACTCCGTCTCAAAAAAAAAAAAAAGAAAAGATGGCGGGGTGAAGGTCAAAGGGGAAATGGGCACGTGCGAGAAGGGAACAAACAAGAGGAGGAAGCTTGCCGTGGAGCAACCCACTCTCTCAGGAACTAATTTCATCTTGCCTGAAAAAGAACTCATTCACTACGTGAGAACAGCACCAGGCCTTTCATGAGGGATCCGCCCTGGTTACCTGCGAATGTGACCTTATTTTGAAATAGGGTCTTTGCAAATGTAATCAGATTAAGATGAGGTCAGACCACAGCCTGGCTGGTCTTAATCCAGTAAGACTGATGTCCTTATAAAAAGAAGGCAGACAGAGAGATGGAAGAGGGAAGACACGTGAAGGCACCTTGGGAGAAAGCAGTGTGATGTACACTTTAAATGGATCAACTGTATATTATGTGAATTATATATCAATAAAGCTTGTAAAAATATTCGTCAAAGTATAGTAAGTTCTCACTTAACATCATCAGTAGGTTCTTGGAAAGTTTCACTTTAAGTGAAACAACATATGATGAAACCAATTCGACCATAGGCTAATTAAAGTAAACAATTTTATGGCACGTTTCTGGTCACAAAAACATCACCAAACTTCTTTTTTTTTTTTTTTTCCTGTCACCCAGGCTGTAGTGCAGTGGCACGATCTCGGCTCACTGCAACCTCTGCCTCCCGGATTCAAGTGATTCTCCTGCCTCAGCCTCTCGAGTAGCTGAGCTTACAGACGCCCACCACTACACCCAGCTAAGTTTTTGTATTTTTAGTAGAGACGGGGTTTCACCATGTTGGCCAGGCCGGTCTCGAACTCCTGACCTCATGATTCACCCGCCTTGGTCTCCCAAAGTGCTGCAATTACAGGTGTGAGCCACTGTGCCTGGCCACCAAACTTCTAAATAGTGACCAAAACACTAATATTGAACATTGAAATACATGTAAGCTATACATACATTTGAGAAACATTAATAAAAACAAGGAAGATAATTATTCGCCAAGTTATTCTAGTTCAGGGTCACAGGTGGCAACAGCGTGTCCTGGAAGCTGGGGGTGCAAGGTGAGCACCAACCATGGACGGGACAGCCTCCCATGGCAGCACGCCCCCTCCCCACCCCCCCCCCGACACACACATGCACACACTCATCCTGGGGCCACACAGGCACCCCAGTTCACCTGACATGCACATATCTAGGATATGGGAGGAAGCTGGAGTCCTGGAGAAAACTTGTAGACTTGGGGAGAATGTGCAAACCCCACACATTGGCCCAGCCAGAAATGCCTTTCTTTTTTTTTCTTTCTCATCAACATTACAATGAAACAACATTGAGCAAAAACAACAGTGAACAAAACTAGTTTATTTGAGGGCTTGCAGTATTCTCAATGAAAGCAAAAAGACAGTATGCCAAACATTTGGACTGAAATATTTACACATTTTGGTTGGAAAAAAAGAGAATTGAGAGTGTCTTCCATTTAGCAGACTTTGTGTTGGACTCACCAGCTCACTTTGCTCTTGTAAATTGAGTATTTTTCTCAATTAAAAATATTGTTAGGCTGGGTGCAGTGGCTCATGCCTGTAATCTCAGCACTTCGGGAGGCTAAGGCAGGCTGATCACCTGAGGTCAGGAGTTCGAGACCAGCCTGGCCAACATGGGGAAACCCCGTCTCTACTAAAAATACAAAAATTAGCTGGGCATGGTGGTGTGCCCCTGTAATCCCCGCTGCTCGGGAGGCTGAGGCAGGATAATCACTTGAACCCAAGAGGCGGAGGTTGCAGTGAGCCGGGACCGCGCCATTGCACTCCAGCCTGGGCAACAAGAGCAAAACTCCACTCAATAAATATAGTTGACTACAGAAGAGGAGTCAGTTGAGGATATCAGTACTTTCAAACTGATAAAAAAAAACTCCACTACTCAGGATATAATCCTGTTCATCTTTTGTTTTCT
Organism: Homo sapiens; assembly: GCF_000001405.40. Taxonomy (NCBI): domain Eukaryota; kingdom Metazoa; phylum Chordata; class Mammalia; order Primates; family Hominidae; genus Homo; species Homo sapiens. The sequence continues at coordinate 10,804,248 of NC_000006.12, read as the reverse complement.
GTGCTTCCTTGTGAATAGATGCTGAATATAATGCTTTGTAACATAGTTTTTCTACTTTTTTTCTTAATATATCAGATGGCACTTATTTCCATATCTATTCAGTTGAGTTCCTGTCTTAGGCTTGATGGACATTTCATAGACATTTGTCTCCAGCCCCACTCATTGTCTGTGATCAGGGAACATGTGTTGTGTCCTATTATCCCCAGAACATTGTACAAATGCCTGACACACAGATGGAACAGGGTCTGAATACCTGTTCCTTGATGGAAATGCATGACCACACAGCGTAGAATGCTACTGCCCATCCACCTTTGAAATTGCAATCAAAATTACCTCTTTTGTTCTCTATTTTCATAGGTATCGTGCCCCTGAAGTTTTACTGAGATCTTCAGTTTATAGTTCTCCCATTGATGTGTGGGCTGTTGGAAGTATCATGGCTGAACTCTATATGTTAAGGCCACTTTTCCCAGGGACAAGTGAGGTCGATGAAATCTTTAAAATTTGCCAAGTTTTAGGGACTCCCAAAAAAGTAAGTACTCTTGTCCCTAAGTTGCTATAACTTTTGATTATTTCTATCTTGCTACTTTGCTTTTAATTTTATAATTTTGATTATTTACAACTTTTGCCTAGATATCTGATATTTTCATTTTGAAATAGGCTCATACTTTAATGATTAATTTTCTTATAATTCTTTTTTTTTTTTTGAGATGGAGTCTTGCTCTGTTGCCCAGGTTGGAGTGCAGTGGCTCAATCTCAGCTCACTGCAACCTCCACCTCCCAGGTTTAAGCAATTCTCATGCCTCAGCCTCCCAAGTAGCTGGGATTACAGGTGTGCACCACCACGCCTGGTCAATTTTTCTATTGTTAGTAGAGAGGAGATTTCACCATGTTGGCCAGGCTGGTCTTGAACTCTTGAGCTCAAGCGATCTGCGATCTGCCCACCTCAGCCTCCCAAAGTGCTGGGATTACTTGGTGTGAGCCACCACGCCCGGCTGTAATCCTTATTTTTTTAATCGGAGTGGGTTAAGGATTGCAAGAAGCCAGAATCCCACCAGCTGAAGAAAAACAGGTGCTTGCCTTTCCTTAAGAACTTCAGGAAAAATTCTGTGTGTTTAGAGTGTAACTTGGGGGTGATGCCCAGCTGACACTGTACAGACAGCCTTGCTTGAGCTCTTTCCTGCTCATTCTGTGGCTGGCCATTGGCATCACCTGTTAACCCCTGGTGTCTTGAACCTTGTTTTTTCTTAACCGTTTCTTGTTTCCTTTTTTATATCTCCCCTGTGGATATTTGACTTCTTGAACTGAGTGCTTTTCAATTAACTATATTTCATCTACACCTTTCTTTCTGAAATGTGCTTTATAAGTGTGTATATAATGACATCCTAATTAAATTAGTAAGTGCCTTGTAGTTAACATTACACAAGTAAATGTAGATATTAAAGCTTTAATGTAATTGTCATTTCCCAGATATGTGCATTTTTAACATTGTATGCAATGGGTAATATACACGACAAGGATCTTTGTTCACAGTCAGCCTCTTTGTAAAGCACTTTTCCTTATTTGTTCAGAGTTAACCCAGGTATCATCACAGCAACATCACCATCAGGATCTAAAACCAGACAAGAGCTTAATATTGCAAAATTTATAAAGGCGGGCATGGTGGCTCATGCCTGTAGTCCCAGCACTTTGGGAAGCCCAGGCAGGAGGATCACTTGAGCCCAGGAGTTCAAGACCAGCCTGGGCAACATAGTGAAACCCCGTCTCCACAAAAAAAAATTAGCCAGGTGTGATGGTGCGCACCTGTAGTCCCAGCTACTCAGGAGTCTGAGGTAGGAGGATCTTTTGAGCCCGGGAGGGTGAGGCTGTAGTGAGCCATGATTGCTCCACTGCACTCCAACCTGGATAACAGAGCCAGATCCTGTCTCAAAAAAAACACAAAAAAACAAACAAAAAAAAGCTATAAAAGTGCTTTTCGCATTGTTTCCTAACTCTCAGCTTAATGTTCTTTCTATACTGTCGTAGCACTAAATTATAGACGTGGTCTGGTATTTCATTTTCATGTTTATATGGATCAACATGAAAATGTTCAAACATAAATGATGTTTATATTACTGCTGTGTTTTTTAAATGGATTACTAAAAACAATTTGTTTTGCCCTCCCCACCTGCACTTATATATTCCTGAAACAGAGTGACTGGCCAGAAGGATACCAGCTGGCATCCTCTATGAACTTCCGTTTTCCCCAGTGTGTTCCTATAAACTTAAAAACTCTTATTCCCAATGCCAGTAATGAAGCTATTCAGCTCATGACCGAAATGTTGAATTGGGATCCAAAGAAACGACCGACAGCAAGCCAGGTAAGAGGAGTCTTCCTGTTAGACCTTTAAAAATGTTTAGGTTTTGTAATATCAGGGATGTTTTCATTTACAAAGGCAGGTCTATTCTCAACCAGGATTTTACTAAGAGAATTAAACACAAAGTCCTAGGCATCCAGCGTATGTAATAAATTAATTTCTAGGCATATAATATCATTGGGAGAAATGCAGAAATAGCCACACCAATGATTTTCTGAGTTTTGTGGTTCAAATGAAGAACCCTGAGGTTGCAACAAGGAATCAATCTGCAATGATAAAAATTCAGACCTGCGACAGACTAGTTATGAAGGAATCTGTCATGGAAGCAAAAAGGCATCTCATGAATCATTCCACATAGTAGACTTTCCTATGCTGCCTTTACAGTTTAGGGGTGGGATTCTGGTTCACTTTATACAACAGTATCATCCCTTGCTGGGACTGGAGTGTGCAGCCTCTGGCTGCCACAAGAGGGCAGCATTGTGGCACCCAGGCTTTGTTCCTTTGTGACTACACCTGACATATCTACAGATGTATTCCAAGTCTAGGGCCTTTAAACCCAGTGTTTTTGTCTGCAAGGCTTCAATAAAAAGGCAATAATAAACTTTATTGTATTCTCATCATTTAAATATAAATTCCATGTGAAAATTACAAAAATTTATTTTGCTTTTTTTAAAATTAATCTTGAGAAAATGTTTTCTAAATGTCATCTGGAAGAACAAATGGGAAAGGATAGTCAAGATATGTTAAAACAAGAATAAGGAATTAGAGAGCGGTGATAGGGATGGACAGCTTGCCCCATCAGATATTAAAGTAATCTTTAAATTGATGATGGTAACAGTGGAAGTACTGGCATAAGAATTGACAAATAGCTGAATGTTGCAGAACATATGAGTCAGCACAAGGTAAACAAACGTGGCATCACAAAGAGGGGAGGACGGCTCAGTGGGTGATACTGGGAAAATTCATTAGCTCTTAGGGAAAAAAATAAATTGAGGTCCTTACTGCTCACCATACTTTACAACTCACAGAAGGGTTACATTTTGTTGTTGTTGTTGAGATGGAGTTTCACTCTTGTTGCCCAGGCTGGAGTGCAATGGCATGATCTCGGCTCACCGCAACCTCTGCCTCCTGGGTTCAAGTGATTCTCCCACCCTCAGCCTCCCGAGTAGCTGAGATTACAGGCATGAGCCACCACGCCTGGCTAATTTTGTATTTTTAGTAGAGACAGGGTTTCTCCATGTTGGTGAGGCTGGTCTCGACCTCCCAACCTCAGGTGATCTGCCCTCCTTGGCCTCCCAAAGTGCTGGGATTACAGGTGTGAGCCACCGCGCCCGACCAGGATTACATTTTCAAAGTGTAAAAAAAAAAGCACCCTAAACTGTTAGAAACAAAAGGAAAGCATACATGTGTATTTGATCTCAAGGTGAAAAAACACGGGTATAAAAATAATAGAAGAAACCACAAAAGGAAGATTCAAACAATTTGATTACATAAAAAGTAAAATTTTTCTCTATGTAAAAATCTTAAAATGGAAAGATAAGACAGAGAAAATTATTTTTAATTCTTAATATAATACTCCTACAGAAACACAAGAAAAATACTGAAATGTGTATGTGTATTTTCTTTTTTTTTTGAGATGGAGTTTCTGTTGCCCAGGCTGGAGTGTAGTGGCATGATCTCCACTCACTGCAACCTCCGCCTCCTGGGTTCAGGCGATTCTCCTGCCTCAGCCTCCCGAGTTGCTGGGATTGCAGGTGCCCGCCACCACGCTTGGCTTATTTTTGTATTTTTGTAGAGACCAGAGGGGTTTTTTTGTTTAGTTTTTTTTTGTTTTTGTTTTTGTTTTTGAAACGGAGTCTCGCTCCATCGCCCAGGCTGGAGTGCAGTAGCGTGATCTCGGTTCACTACACCCTCCGCCTCCCAGATACAAGCAATTCTTCTGTCTCAGCCTCCCTAGTAGCTGGGACTACAGGTGCCTGCCACCACACCTGGCTAATTTTTGTATTTTTAGTAGAGATGGGGTTTCACCTTGTTGGTCAGGCTGATCTTGAACTCCTGACCTTAGGTGATCCACCCACCTCGGCCTCCCTAAGTTCTGGGATTACAGGAATGTGCCACTGTGCCTGGCCAGAGACGGAGTTTTACCATGTTGGCCAGGCTGCTGTTGATCTCCTGACCTCAGGTGATCTGCCTGCCTTGGCCTCCCAAAGTGCTGGGATTACAGGCATGAACCACTGTGCCCAGCCGTTTAAGTGTATTTTCTAATTTTTCTTTTTTAAAATTTTTTGAAAGTTTTGTTTCTTTAAAGATGGGGTCTTACTATGTTGTCCTGACTGGTCTCAAACCCCTGGTCTCGTGCAGTTCTCCTGCCTTGGCCTCCCAAAGTGCTGAAATAATATAGGCGTGAGCCACCACACCTGGCCCATATTTTCTAATTTTTCTAAACATTCATTACCTTCATAATAAAGACATAATAAGTTTTTCAAATGTATTTTAAAAAGAAAAGTAGTAATGGGACATGAAAAAGAAACACAGGAAAAGAAATACAGATTACAAAAAATATTTTTTAAATGTTCAGTCTTTGTTTACTATTATAAAATGCAAGTAGAAATGAGATACCGTTTTTCATTTATCTCTCTTAGTAAGAGAAAGTAATTTTGTAGTATATAAAAAGAGCCTTGAAGACAATCAGAAATTATGCTCAAAGATGTTCAATTCCAATAGAAAACTGTACATTGAAAGTTAATCAAAATGTTTCCAACCATGTGCGGTGGCTCTGCAGTGCCGCACACCTGTAATCCCAGCACTTTCCGAGGCAGGCGGATCACTTGAGGTCAGGAGTTTGAGATCAGCCTGGCCAACGTGGCAGAACCCCATCTCTACTAAAAATACAAAAAATTAGCTAGGCATGGTGACACACACCTGTAATCTCAGCTACTCGGGAGGCTGAGGCAGAAGGATAGCTTGAACCCAGGAGGCGGAGGTTGCAATGAGCCAAGATCGTGCCACTGCACTCCAGCCTGGGTGACAGAGTGAGACTCTGTCTCAAAAATAAATAAATAAATAAATAAATAAATAAATAAATAAATAAATAATGTTTCTAAACTTAGGTTATGTGCATCTTTAATTTGGAATATACTGCCAGCATTAACAGTGAATTTGTAAAATAAAATTTTTAAATAATTTGGGAGAAATCTCATGCTAAAATACTATTATACAAATAATATGATTTTGTTTTTGAAAAATATATTTTATATGATGAGAAAAAAATACCGAAAAGTATAAAAAATGTTAGTCTTGGTTGTCTCTGGGTGTTAAATTTTTATTTTTGTCTTGAGAACTCTATACGTTTCTCATTCTCTACAATGATCACTGCTTCCCTTAAGTAAATAGGAAAAAATAAATGCTATTAATTTTTAAAGTTTTCCCTCTTCTTGAAGGATAGTAACTGGTATCTTAAAGTATCTTAAAAGGGAAGAGTTGGCCGGGCACAGTGGCTCATACCTGTAATCCTAGCACTTTGAGAGGCCAAGGTGGGCGGATCACGAGGTCAGGAGCTTGAGACCGGCCTGACCAACATGGTGAAACCCTGTCTCTATTAAAAATACAAAAATTAGCTGGGCATGGTGGCGTGTGCCTGTAATCCCAGCTACTCGGGAGGCTGAGGCAGGAGAATTGCTTGAACCCAGGAGGCGGATGCAGTGAGCCAAGATCGTGCCACTGCACTCCAGTCTGGGTGACAGAGCGAGACTCCATCTCAAAAAAAAAAAAAAAAAAAAAGGGAAGAGTTGTTATAAATAAAGCCTTGAAATTACAAAACACATCCTCAAAGTTTCCAGCTCCAAAATATGCATCATTAATTTAGGAATATTGACATACTAATTACTTAATGTGACTTAATTCAGAATTTGAGTACCTTCAGTGTGCTAGGCATTGAAGTATTCAAATTATGTATATTTGTGTATTCCACTGAGAATGCAAGTAACCCTTAACAAACTCTTTCTTGTGCTCTGTTTCACAGCCCTGCTTTTTAGTGGAAGTGGAAAGACCTAATTAGGGAGAGAGGTTGGTTAAGTTGTAGAATATGAAGACCATTTAAAGTACCAAGCTGCCTTCTGTTCCTCTAAAAACTGCCCTTACACATGGGAGGAGTTAACTGTTGGTCAGGGCTATGTTCCCACCTATGTGGGGACTGGCTAAAGGCAGGAGGTTCAGGGGAACAGAGCTTGACCATCTTAAGGAACCCATCCCCCCAAAAATGACCAGCTACTTTGCCCAGGTATTTGATGCCAATAAGGGAATTTTTCCATAGCTGAGCTACACAGGCTTTAGACATTCTGTAGAATATTTTTTCGGTTTTAGCCTTACTGACGTTGTGAACCAGATAACTCTTTGCTGTGGGGTGCTATTGTGTGCATTATGGGATAGTTAGCAATGTCCCTGGCCCTCTAGACACTAGACACTAGTAGCGTCCCCCAACCCCTGTCATTATAATAAGAAATGTCTCCAGACATTGCCAGATATCTCCCAAGGGGCAAACTTGCCTCCATTTGGGAAGCACTGCTATTAGATGGTGCCACCCATACACCAGGGGGTCCTTTCCCTCTCATGCAAGCAGTCAGGTGACTGATCTAGATAAAACTCAAACAGTGATCATTTTTCATAATATTTTTATATTTTCTTCCCATAAATGTCTTCTCTTTGCTGGTATACCGATGAAATAAACTTCAACAGTATGTGTTTGTTGTCCCCTCTTTAGATTTTTTTTTTATTACTAGTAGGTATATTGTTGTACTCAGGCTGAGAGTAACCCGGAATTTTACATACAGCTCTGGTTAATCATTTCAAATAATCTATATGGAAGATTTTCTTAATTCACTTTTTAATGTCTTTGAGTGTACTCTAAACCATTATTGGTGTGTAGTATTTTAGCTTGAAGTAATCACATTAATTTAGCCAATGTCTATAAATTACATTTTATTTTCACTAACAAATCTTTAAATAAATAGAACAGCTGTTTTGCTTAGATGTTATAATAACAAGTGAGCTTTCTATTTTTTCCTACTAGTACTTTTTTTTTTTTTTTTTTGAGGTGGAGTCTCGCTGTGTTGCCTAGGTTGAAGTGCAGTGGCACAATCTTGGCTCACTACAATCTCCTCCTCCCAGGTTCAAGCGATTCTCATGCCTCACCCTCCCGTATAACTGGGGTTACAGGCATCCACCAACACGCCTGGCTAATTTTTGTATTTTTAGTAGAGACTGGGTTTCACCATGTTGGTCGGGCTGGTCTTGAACTCCTGACCGCAAGTGATCCTCCCACCTCATCCTCCCAAAGTGCTAGGATTATAGGCGTGAGCCACCATGCCCAGCCACTTTTAATTTTTTAATGCAATTTATTTCTCAAATCATTTTTTTCTGGTTATCTTTTAAAAGAGGCACTGTATAGGGAATGATGGCTGCTTTCTAAATCTTTGAAGCTCATGTGGGCTAATGATAAATGCCTCGCACAGGGCCAACCATAGTTTATGTGCAATACATTTAGGTGGAACTGTTTTCCATTTGTTGTTTTCTCTGTGTTTTTATAGGCATTGAAACACCCATATTTTCAAGTTGGTCAGGTATTAGGCCCTTCGTCAAATCATCTGGAATCAAAACAGTCTTTAAATAAGCAGCTGCAACCATTAGAATCAAAGCCATCTTTAGTTGAGGTAGAGCCTAAGCCTCTGCCGGATATAATCGATCAGGTTGTTGGACAACCCCAGCCAAAAACTAGCCAGCAGCCACTGCAGCCCATTCAGCCGCCACAGAACCTGAGCGTCCAGCAACCTCCAAAGCAACAGAGTCAGGAGAAACCGCCACAAACGCTATTCCCGAGCATCGTCAAAAACATGCCAACTGTGAGTAGCCAGTCATGACACTTGCAATGAAATAGTTTGACTCGTGCAATTAAGATTTTTTTCGAGGCATTTCTAATAATGTTGGAAAAGATATAAAAGATTTTTCTTTGTTAAAGACCCTGAGTCCTCTGGTTGGAGCTTGACATGAGATCACTTAAAATTCTAATATGGTTTATAAAAAGAAAAACTTTCAGGATAAAAGTAACCAAGTTTACATGCTACAGTCTTCAGTCTTTTTTCTTTTTCTTTTTTTGAGACGGAGGTTCGCTTTTGTTGCCTAGGCTGGAGTGCAGTGGCACGACCTTAGCTCACTGCAATCTCTGACTCCTGGGTTCAAGCGATTCTCCTGCCTCAGCCTCCCAAGTAGCTGGGATTACAGACGCCCACCACCACGCCTGGATATTTTTTTGTATTTTTAGTAGAGATGGGGTTTCACCATGTTGTCCAGGCTGGTCTTGAGTTCCTGACTGCAAGTGATACACCCGCCTTGGCCTCCCAAAGTTCTGGGATTACAGGCATGAGCCACTGCACCTGGGCTTTTCTTTTTTATTTCTTGAGACGGAGTTTCACTCTATTTGCCCAGGCTGGAGTGCAATGGCACGATCTTGGCTCACTGCAACCTCCACCTCCCAGGTTCAAGCAGTTCTCTTGCCTCAGCTTCCTGAGTGGCTGGGATTATAGGCACCCACCACCACACCCAGCTAATTTTTGTATTTTTAGTGGAGACCATGTTGGCCAGGCTGGTCTCGAACTCCTGACCTCAGATGATCCACCCATCTCGGCCTCCCAAAGTGCTGGGATTACAGGCGTGAGCCACCAAGCCCGGCCTAAAATTCTTTCAATGCAGAAGAATTCAAAGAAAGAATTTAAAAGAATCGGGTACTCCAGAGTACTGATCCTAAATCTTAAGAATTTTTAACAGTACTTTCATTTTACAGTGTTCTTAAATGCTAAGGAACATGGAGAGAATGGGTTTTTATTTATTATTATTATTATTATTATTTTGAGACAGAGTTTTGCTCTTGTTGCCCAGGCTGGAGTGCAATGGTGTGATCTCAGCTCACCACAACCTCCACCTCCCAGGTTCAAGCAATCCTCCTGCCTCAGCCTCCTGAGTAGCTCGGATTACAGGCATGTGCCACCATGCCCAGCTAATTTTGTATTTTTAGTAGAGATGGGGTTTCTCCATGTTGGTCCGGCTGGTCTTGAACTCCTGACCTCAGGTGATCCACCCTCCTTGGCCTCCCAAAGTGCTTGGATTACAGGCCTGAGCCACCGCACCTGGCCAGAATAGGTTTTTAAAGTGTCAGGCATAGTATAAAACTTTTTCTTCCATCTTTTGTTCAGCTCCAGGAGCTCTTCAGTTGCTGTAGTATTTTAGCTGTCCCACTGGGTATACACTCCCAAATGTGTTTGCATTATGGCATTTTAGGATGGAAATCGGTCTTATACAGCACTGTATCTATTTCCTTCCAGTCCCCAACTGCCCCACCAACCTAGATAAGCAAGGCCTCCTCGTCCCCCAATAGCACTAATCACATTCTAACATACTGTTAATTACTTCTTATGTTTATTGTTTATTTGTCTCTTCCTCTGGAATGCAGCAAGCTCAGTGAGGTCAGGAATGTTTGTGTGTTTATCAGTACAGCCTCAGCACCCCGACCAGTGCCTGCCACATGGTAGATTCTCAGTAGATATTTGTTCAGTGAATGAAGGAATGAATAATTGCCCACATGACTTGTAAACCACCTCTGGGGTCCTGGGGAGTCCACTTTTATCTTTGGAACAGTTCTGAATATTAGAAAGTTCTTCCTTAATACTGGGTAAAATCTGGTTTTCTAGCTTTTAATGAAGGCTAATCACTTTTCTAGAAAGGCAGCCTTTTAGATATTTGAAAATAGCCCTTATATTATCTGCCCTTTTCTCTAGAGAAACTTCTCCAATTCCCTTAAGGGCTCTGCATATAACACCATTCACCAATGACTGATAACTCTCAGTTCCTATTATGAATGTGTCTTTAAGTCCCCTCTCATCTTGCTTTCCACTTAGAATGAGGTTGCCAGAGCTAGAGGCAGACAGCAGGCAGGGAATATAGAGCAGGGCGAATCACCTCCGACATTCTAAACCATATGTGCACTCGTGCCACCAACGATGACAGTCCTCCCCATGACCCCTTGGAAGATGCATCAATTGTTGACTCATATTGTGAGGGAAGGAAAGGAAGTTAATATTTATTGAGTAGCTTCCAAGTGCCATGCATATGCGAGGGACGCTGTGTGCATTCTCTAAGTTAAAGAGAATAACCTAGCCCCCAGCCCCGCCACACACACATTTTTATATAGGTGAGTTCCAGAGCTGGGATTAAGTACTGTGTTAACTAAAATTTCTAAGTATACCTGTTTTTTCACAAATGCTTCTCCTAAATTGCATATTCTGTACCTCTGACTTGTGTATTTCATCTCTAGGATTCAAAAAGTTGCAAGATCTCTTACCTCTTCAATTTCTAATTATTTTTGAATCTGTATTTTTTCTTCTCAGTTTACCCATTCTGCCCAGCTTGTTGCCAGCTGTGTATTTGTTTAGTTGTCTGTTTTGCTCCTGAATCTTCATGATGAATAGAACGACCGTGAGATCTTGGGCAGGCTACTAGAACCTTTCTCTAGATTGACGTTGATCCATTTGTCAGTACTGTTGGTCAAGTTCTTCAACTATGTGCTGATCCCCTTTGCTGCCTTCACCCACTGGGCTGAAGTCCACATACACTACACTGAATGAATTCATTGTTTGCCTTTTATGAAAAAGTGTGGTCTATATGAGCTATCACTGTTTTTCCTTAGTGCTCACAAACATCCCCTTTAATAATTGATTTTAGAATCTTTGCCCTCATCCTCTACCAAACTTACTGATGTGGAGTTTGCAAAAATAAATCTTCTACTTTATTAAAAGTATTATATTTGCCCCTTTCCAGTCTTCTCAGCCATACCAGATTCTTGCATATCACTGATATTGTTCAGCAGTGTTCAGGATCAGTACCCTAAAATACAATTCAACAGAAGGGAGGCTCAAACTCAGCTAAGGGTAACCTTTTATTAACCCTACTCATCTGGAGCTTAACATTTTTTTTATTCTCTTTATTCTGGAGATTGTTGTGCCTGGCAGAGAAAGTAATAGTGTAGAGAAGCTGGCAAATACTGCTTTTTGTTATCATCCATCACTATCACTGTAATACCGTCAGCTTCAAGCAATAGCATGTCCATTCTTTAAGAATCTCCCTGCACCCAACATAGGTGTATTTTCTGAAAATTTTCCATGCTCTCTTCCCTAGTTTTGAGTTGCCTTTTGGATTTTTCTGTTTATGTGCCCCCAAACCACTTTCTGTAAATTTGTATAAAACCAATTCATTGTGTGCTCTAAGCCAGGACTTCTTTCCCATTCCTTATTTCTGTTAATGATGCCTCCATTCTGTGACAGTCAGACTCATACTTCCCTCTCTGTTTCCGTTAGGATTACATTCAGGGACTTATGACAAAAACTCGACCACTGTGGCTTAAACAATAGGGATTGTTGTTCTCAGATAACAAGAAATCGGGTGGTGGGTAGCTGGAGCTCATGAAGCTTGCAGAGGAGGCAGGCTGCTGCTGGCTTCCCGCTCCACCACCCTGAGCAGGTGGCTTTCATTCCTGTGGCCACAGGATGACTGGTGTTCCTTTGGATGTCGTGTCTGCATTCAAGGAGGGGGAAGAGTAAAAGATGCTGGCACATGCCAGCCTTAGTGTCCTTCTCATTAAGGCTGTCCCCACTTAAGGAGGACACTAAGGCTTTGAGAAGTTAAGTCACTTGCCCAAAGAGCATAGCCAAGTCTCAGGTTTCCAGATCCTTCCTGTCAATGAAGAGTCAACTCAGATCCTAAATATTCAAGTCTCTCACCAACCTAGTTCACAGAGATCTCTCCTCTGAACACCTATCATATTTTTGGCATGTACCGCCCATTTTTGTTCATGCTTTTAAATGTGTATATATGTTATGCCCTTACATGTATGGAACGCTCCTTGAGAATGGGGACTGTTAGTGTCTTACATAGATAGTAGCTTGTGCATGAAAGGCATTCAGTACATGATTAAAGATTATGATGACTGATTTTCCACCACAGAAGCCAAATGGCACACTGAGTCATAAAAGTGGTAGGAGGCGTTGGGGTCAGACTATCTTCAAGTCTGGAGATAGCTGGGAAGAGTTGGAGGACTATGATTTCGGAGCCTCCCATTCCAAGAAGCCAAGCATGGGTGTTTTTAAAGAAAAAAGGAAAAAAGATTCTCCATTTCGGTAAGATTTCAAATTCCTCAGAAAAATATTTTTGCCATGCATTAACTTTATTTTACTCATTAAATATAAATGCATGTAGACCCTAAAAGAAGAAAAGTTTGCTTAACAGGCCAGGTGTAGTGGCTCAGGCCTGTAATCCCAGCACTTTGGGAGGCCGAGGCAGGTTGATCACTTGAGGCCAGGAGTTTGAAACTAGCCTGGCTGACATGGTGAAACCCCGTCTCTACTAAAAATACAAAAATTAGCTGGGTGTGGTGGTGTGCACCTGTAATCCCAGCTACTCGGGAAGCTGAGACATGAGAATTTCTTGAACCTGGGAGGTGAATGTTGCAGTGAGCCAAGATTGTGCCATTGCATTCCAGCCTGGGTAACAAAGTGAGACTCTGTCTCAAAAAAAAGAAAAAAAGAAAAAAATTTGCTTAATATTGGTGCCTTCCACAAAACACAAATCTTTCCACATACTTCTGAAAAGGTAAGAATCTTCTCACAGTAACAGTTCTCAGTATTAACAGATGAGTGGGGTGTGTGTGTCTGTGTGTGTGTGTAGAGAGTGTGTCAGTCCGTTTTTACATTGCTATAAAGAATGTGTTGGCCCATGGTTCTGCAGGTTGTACAGGAAGCATAGTGCCAGCATGTGCTTCTGGTGAGGGCTTTTGGAAACTTAGAATAATGGCAGAAGGTGGCAGAGGATCCAGCCTGTCACATGGCAAGAGAGGGAGCAAGAGAGAGAGGGAGGAGGTCCCAGACTCTTTTAAACGATCAAGTCTTGCATGAACTCAGAGTGAGAACTCACTCGTTACCGCAAGGATAGTACCAAGCCATTTGTGAGGGATCTGCTCCCATGGTCCAAACACCTCCCGCCAGGCCCCACCTCAAAACTGGGGATTACATTTCAACATGAGATTTAGAGAGGACAGATGTCCAAAACGTATCAGAGGGGATCTTGTTCCATTTTTACGATGCTCTTGTGAATGACAATCATTATTCCCATTTGAAATTGACATGCCTCGTTGCAGGAAGTAGAGCACCACGTGCCAAGTTAACAGCTTCTTCTGATGGTGTTAAGATTTCACTAACTGCCTCCTCGCTATTCTAAACTTTTTTCAATCATTTTCTGAGCCTTTTCTGGAAGTTTAATATCTCTAGCAGTTCCTTTACTTTTTATAAGTGAGGTCATCCTTAGTACATTATTCGACTTTGAAGTTAGGATGGGTTAAGTTTTGGTGAATATTTTGGAAAGATACTTTCTTTTTTTTTTGTTTTCCTCTTTGAAACAGAAGAATAGAAAGAACAAGTGTGTTATGAGTCAGGAAAACTTATACAAGTAGCTATTTGGCATGACATAGTATGGAAGTCTTCACTTTGGAGCACGAGGAATCTCTAAGGAGTACATATGCTTGGATAATTCTTTTTTTGCTTGGATAACTCTTATGCAATCCGTTTCCAGGTCTTCACATTCCATAGGTACTCTTTCCTAAAAATACATGAACTGGAGGAAAAGCCCACTCAAGTCCTCTTCCACTCTAGGCAAGAAAGTCACACCTCTCAGTTATTTCAACTCTTACATGGCATAGGGTTACTAAATAAAGGGACAAATCAGAAAACTGGCTTTCTGTTGGTTCTTGTCTTACAGAAATTGGGTACAGTAGTCCCCTGAATCTGCAGTTTCACCTTCCATGGTTTCATTTACCTGCAGTACGGTGCAATAAGATATTTTGGGCTGGGTGCGGAGGCTCAATGCCTGTAATCCCAGCACTTTGGGAGGCTGAGGTAGGTGGATCACCTGAGTTCAGGAGATTGAGACCAGCCTGGCCAACATGGTGAAACCTCGTCTTTACTAAAAATACAAAAATTAGCTGGGTGTGGTGGCGGGCGCCTGTAATCCCAGCTACTCAGCAGGCTGAGGCAGGAGAAACTTGAACCCAGGAGGCAGAGGTTGTGGTGAGCCGAGATTGTGCCACTGCACTCCAGCCTGAGTGAGAGTGAGACTCCGTCTCAAAACAAAAAAAAGATATTTTTGAGAGCACATTCACATAACTTTTATTACAATATATTGTTTTAATTGTTCTATTTTAGTATTAGTTATTAATGTTAATCTCTTGCTGTGCCCAACTTATAAATTAAACTTCCTCATAGGTATCTATGCACATACATATAGGAAAAGATGGGCTGTATAGGGTTTGATACTATCTGTGGTTTCAGGCATCCTCTGGGGGTCTTAGAACATATCCCCCACACGTAATGGGGGCTACTGTATTTTAGCCCATGTTGGAAAGCATGGTGATTTGGAAACACTGAAGCACCAGGCGTTAGTGATGTGTATTCTTTCAAATATACTAAAATGCTCTGTTTCCTCTTTGAAACAGAAGAATAGGAAGAACAGTTGTGTTATGAGTCAGGAAAACTTATCCAGGAGCTCTTTGGCATGGTATAGTATGGAAGTCTTCACTTTGGGGCACGAGGAATCTCTAAGGAGTGCATATGCTTGGATAATTCTTTTTTTTTTTTTTTTCTTTTTTGCTTGGATAACTCTTAGGCAATCCGTTTCCAGGTCTTCACATTCCATAGGTACTCCTTCCTAATCTGTGTGTTTAATCCATGGGTTTTCAAAACACATGGATTAAAATTTTACTTATTTGAGGATCAGAGTGTATTATGGATAAGGTAGTTAAAACTTATTTTATCAAGCCATACCATGAAATACTCCAATTGCAGTCAATCCTCACAATATTTCATCTTATAAAATACTGTTTCTATCTGCTGTTAACAAGAAATAAGGAACAAATTTATGATGAAAAATTATAGATGTCTATTTAAAGATGTGCAGGGAGTTACATAATTTAAAAAACAATTATTTGGGTCTAGGAACAGAAGAGTTTGAAGACCACTGATGTAGTATATGGGAGATTTGAAACATTTTTTTTCTTTTTTTTCTTTTTGAGACGGAATGTCGCTTCATTGCCCAGGCTGGAGTGCAGTGATGTGATCTCGGCTCACTGCAACCTCTGCCTCCAGGGTTCAAGCAATTCTCCTGTCTCAGTCTCCTTAGTAGCTCAGATTGTTACAGGCGTGTGCCACCACGCCTGGCTAATTTTTTGTATTTTTAATAGAGACAGTGTTTCACCATGTTGGCCAGGCTAGTCTTGAACTCCTGACCTCAGGTGATCCACCTGCCTCGGCCTCCAAAAGTGTTGGGATTACAGGCATGAGCCACCGCACCTGGCGACTTGAAAACATTTTTTAAAACCCATGTCATTCTGATTTCAGCTAAATTTTATTCATAATTATTTATAATTATTCATAATTTATTCATAAATTTTAGTCATATATTTTTGAGGATGGTAGAGGTTTGAATCAAAACCTATAGTTAAGATCAAGGTTGTGGCTGTTCATGGTGGCTTATACTTATAAACCTAGCACTTTAGGAGGCCGAGGTAGGTGGGTTGCTTGAGCTTAGGAGTTTGAGACCAGCCTGGGCAATATGGCAAAACTCCATCTCTACAAAAAAATACAAAAATTAGCCAGATGTGGTAGCCCACACCTGTAGTTCGAGCTACTCAGGAGGCTGAGGTGAGAGGATTGCTTGAGCTTGGAAGGCCGAGCCACTGCACCCCAGCCTGGGCAACAGAGCGAGACACTGTCTCAAAAAATCAAAAAAAGATCAAGGTTGTAGTCTATATACCTGTTTCTAGCAAGGGAACAATTAGTAAATTTCTTCAACATTAATTATCCCTTTTCTCTTGAAATTCTTTAGAAAAACTGTATGACAGTGAATTTTTCATGTGGGTATTTCTTCTACTTTTTTTTTTTTTTTTTGAGACAGTCTCGCTCTGTCACCCAGGCTGGAGTGCAGTGGCGCGATCTCAGCTCACTGCAAGCTCCGCCTCCTGGGTTCACGCCATTCTCCTGCCTCAGCCTCCCGAGTAGCTGGGACTGCAGGTGCCCACCACCACACTCGGCTAATTTTTTGTATTTTTTTTAGTAGAGACAGGGTTTCACCATGTTAGCCAGGATGGTCTCGATCTCCCGACCTCGTGATCCACCTGCCTCAGCCTCCCAAAGTGCTGGGATTACAGGCGTGAGCCACTGCGCCCAGCCATTTCTTCTACATTTTTATTTTTTGGTATCTTTCAATGGTCTTGTACAATTCTAGGCATATGGTTATTATTATGATCATCATTATTATTAATATACTACCATCTGTTAAGCTCCTGCCTAAACTTTATAATTTTCATACTTCAGTAAAAATATCTGCAGAGTAGGATGCTGAGACTTGGATAGGCTGGGTTTCTTGCCCAAGATCAGGTAAGGATTAATTCAAATCCAGGTCTTTCTCTCTTCTACCCCACACTGCTTCTTTAGCAATAGGAGCTGAATTGGTGAATTGTTGGATTTGTGAATAGGAGCTGAATTGGTGAATTGGTGGATTTGTGAATAGGAGGTGAATTGGTGAATTAGCGGAGTGGTGAACAGGAGGTGAACTGGTGAATTAGCGGAGTGGTGAACAGGAGGTGAACTGGTGAATTAGCGGAGTGGTGAATAGGAGGTGAACTGGTGCATTAGCGGAGTGGTGAATAGGAGGTGAACTGGTGAAGTAGCGGAGTGGTGAATAGGAGGTGAACTGGTGCATTAGCGGAGTGGTGAATAGGAGGTGAACTGGTGCATTAGCGGAGTGGTGAATAGGAGGTGAACTGGTGCATTAGCGGAGTGGTGAATAGGAGGTGAACTGGTGCATTAGCGGAGTGGTGAATAGGAGGTGAACTGGTGAATTAGCGGAGTGGTGAATAGGAGGTGAACTGGTGAATTAGCGGAGTGGTGAATAGGAGGTGAACTGGTGAATTAGCGGAGTGGTGAATAGGAGGTGAACTGGTGAATTAGTGGAGTGGTGAATAGGAGGTGAACTGGTGCATTAGTGGAGTGGTGAATAGGAGGTGAACTGGTGCATTAGTGGAGTGGTGAATAGGAGGTGAACTGGTGCATTAGTGGAGTGGTGAATAGGAGGTGAACTGGTGAATTAGTGGAGTGGTGAATAGGAGGTGAACTGGTGCATTAGTGGAGTGGTGAATAGGAGGTGAACTGGTGAATTAGTGGAGTGGTGAATAGGAGGTGAACTGGTGAATTAGTGGAGTGGTGAATAGGAGGTGAACTGGTGAATTAGTGGAGTGGTGAATAGGAGGTGAACTGGTGCATTAGTGGAGTGGTGAATAGGAGGTGAACTGGTGCATTAGTGGAGTGGTGAATAGGAGGTGAACTGGTGCATTAGTGGAGTGGTGAATAGGAGGTGAACTGGTGCATTGAACAGACCCTGCCATCCCCTGCTTGGTCTCTCAGGCAGCCAGGGCCTCCCCATAAAGAATACAGAGTACCAAATACTAACATGTATACCTTTTATTTAATGGTTGTCTTATTTTTTAAATTATTATTATGATTGAGATGGAGCTTTGCTCTTGTCGCCCAGGCTGAGTGCAGTGGTGCGATCTTGGCTCACTGCAACCTCTGCCTCCCGGGTTCAAGTGATCCTCCTGTCTCAGCCTCCCAAGTAGCTGGGATTACAGGTGGCCGCCACCATGCCCAGCTAATTTTTGTATTTTTAGTAGAGACAGGGTTTCACCATGTTGGCCAGGCTGGTCTCAAACTCCTGATCTCAGGTGATCCACCTGCCTTTGCCTCTCAAAGTGCTAGAATTACAGGCGTGAGCCACTGCACCCAGCCTGGTTGTCTTCTTAAAAGTGAACAAAAAGCAAGATATTTATATTTAGATTTATACTTGTATTTATATTCAGTAGATGTTTACTAAATACCTAGTTGGAATTAAGCCTCTCTTCAACTCATCAAATATATGGCAACAGAAATAAGACCTCCAGAGGACTATAACACATGACAAGTGTGTGCATTTAGTGCCACTAGTGACAGCTGCAAGGAGCTCTGGGAGTTCTGTCTATGGGCAGAGATCCCTCTGATGAGGACAGAAAAGTCTTTTTAGAGTGAGTAGTTTTGGGAATGGGTAGAATTTCAGTTAGTGATATAACAGCAGTGGGCTCAGGGGAAGGGAAAGTTGCCAGAAATGGCGGGACTGTTCCCATTGAAGCAGACGCACCTGTGCCTAGAACTGCCCCCAAGCAGGTGGCCAGCAGTTCAAAGGGCCACCCAAGTGAGTATCCATTTCCAAGGGAGCCAACTTGGTGAGTAGGGTTTGGTAGCATGAATTTCTAGGTGGAAACCATGGATGCTTGGAGTTAACAAGTGATGGAAATTGGGCAGTATATTCAGGCCCCAGCAAAGAAGGAGCCCAGTCGGAGGGTGGTGGGGAGAAGGTTGGTCGTGGAGGGCTCATTACAGCACACAGAGGGATGGGCAGCAACACAAAGCAATGGCCGCCTCACGCACTGCTGCCTGGTCAAACAGGCCTCAGGGACAGGCCTCGGGAATGAGACAGAACTAAGCCTCGAAGCAGAAAGTCCTCAGTCCGTACACAGAAACAGGACTGTGGGAGTTAGGGACCAACAGGCAGAGAGTCAGTCTTAATACTAACAAACACCACTAAACAGCTAGCGAGGTGCTTAGCCACTGCACAAGTCTGTTCTGGCTGAGACACAGGCATGTCTCCACAAATACCTATTTTCTGTGCCTGACACTAGGGTGACGGGAAATTGTATACGGGAGCTTTTCTAGCACTTCTTTCCCCATTTCAGTTTTTTAGGCCATCCAAACCATGCCCCAAACAACCTCATTGATTGTAAATTATTTTAGTCAACAGGTGAAGATGGCTGTTATTTCCCTCTCAGCACACCAGTTTCCCACGTTATGAATCCAACTGCAGCCGTTGCAGGACAGATAGAAACATGTTACACACAAGTAAATTGCTGCTCAGTTATAAAGGTTCCTGTCACATACTGGTATCAGAAATGAGTCTGTGCACGACCCAATATCTACGCGGGTGGAGGGGAAGTTGTCACTTAGCCAAAAGACTGATGGAAACCATTTAAGTGAGGTCAGATTGACTGGCTTAGGAAGATGTGCAGAGGGTGGGCGAGATGTGCAGAGGGTGGGCGAGATCCTCTCGTTGTTCGTGCTGTAATGCTACCTTTCATTGGCTTTCAAGGCTTCCAGAGCCAGTACCCTCAGGCTCCAACCACTCGACAGGGGAAAACAAGAGCTTACCTGCTGTTACTTCCCTAAAATCTGATTCCGAATTGTCAACTGCTCCAACCTCTAAACAGTACTACTTGAAACAATCAAGATATCTTCCAGGTAAGTAGAGCAAAGAAAATGTTTGCTGCTAACTAGAGTATAGATAGGTCAGGTTCAAGTGTCTTGGAATCTCCAAAGAAAGGGCAGCAGTGAAGCAAAAAATCTAATCACAGAGCTCTTTGGTAGCTCAGTCTGTCGCCAAGGACTTTTCTGGACCTCCTGTTTCTACCACTAGTAGAATTCTGCTCAAGAAATGCTTAGGAGCAAAAATCAAGATGATGAATATGCTTCCAGAAAACACCAACCCCCACCCCCCACCAAAGCTATGCATTCAGTAAATCCTAAATTTTATTAAGCCAATTCTATGCCCCCATTACAACTTTTTATAAAATGTAGATTTTCAAATACTCTTTCCTAAATGATCTGGTGTACATTTTTTTGTTTGTTTGTTTTTTTGTTTTTTTTGAGACAGATTCTCGCTCTGTCGCCCAGGCTGGAGTGCAGTGGCGTGATCTCGGCTCACTGCAACCTCCACCTCCCAGGTTTAAGCCATTCTCCTGCCTCAGCCTCCCGAGTAGCTGGGACTACAGGTGCGAGCCACCACGCCTGGCTAATTTTTGCATTTTTAGTAGAGATGGTGTTTCACCGTGTTAGCCGGGATGGTCTCGATCTCCTGACCTTGTGATCCGCCCGCCTTGGCCTCCCAAAGTGCTGAGATGACAGGCGTGAGCCACTGTGCCCAGCCAATCTGGTGTATATTTTTAAAAGATTCTGCCTGCTCGGAAGAGCATGCTGGGAACTCAAGAGAGGCAAAGACACTGGCTAAGAGGCCACTGCTTATGTCCGGATGGGGTGGGGTAATGTAAATGGCTGGTTCCAGAGTGGAAGTGGCAGAGGTACAAGTGGGCAAAACCTAGACATGTTTTGGTACTGGAACCAATAGGACTTGTGGGTAGATTGGTGGAAAGAATTAGTGGCAGCATCTGAGGTTTTGACTTGGGAACTGGGTGAACGGTGGTGACTTTAGCTGAGAAAGGGAAGATTAGAAGAGGAGAAGATTGTGGAAGTAGAGAATGGAGAGCTGAGTGCGGGATGCCTGTTAAACATCTGAATTGATCCATCTAATGGGCGCCTGGGTATATGAATCTGGAGCTTGGGAGAAAGATCTGGACAGACAGTGGGGAGTTTATCATGTGCCTGCAAATAGCATTTTCTCCTCTAAATCCAAATAAAAAGGAAATGTTTCAATTCAATTTAATCTAAAAGATAATCCATTTTTAAATCGTCCTGTATCTACACAGATACATCTTTAATCCAGTGAGGGAGAAGATGATCTTTTTCTTTTGTGTTTTTGTGGGCATGGTCATTTATAACTTTCTAAACACGAGTGGGCCACTGTTTAACTGAGGAAGATTTGCTTTTCACATCTAAGTCTCCTGAAGCAAGACACAGTCTCCATTTCCCAGAAGCTTGTTTGGGAAGATGGGGCATGGCAAACAAGAGAAAAGGTTGAGACAGGATTGCCAGCAAAAGATGGATCTGTAACACACTTCCCTGTGTACCTTTTAGGCAAACATAGAAATTTCAGTTCTAAGAATCCAGCTAGGGCTGGGCACAGTGGCTCACACCTGTAATCCCAGCACTTTGGGAGGCCGAGGTGGGCGGATCACCTGAGTTCAGGAGTTTGAGACCAGCCTGACCAACATGGTGAAACCCCGTCTCTACTAAAAATATAAAAATTAGCTGGACGTGGTGGTGGGCATCTGTAATCCCAGCTACTCGGGAGGCTGAGGCAGGAGAATTGCTTGACCCAGGAGGTGGAGGTTGCAGTGAGCCGAGATGGCACCGCTGCACTCCAGCATGGGCAACAGAGCAAGACTGTGTCAAAAAAAAAAAAAAAAAAAAATCCAGTTGGGACCCTCTCTTGCTGTTAGTAATTGGGGAAAAGAAAAAAAATGAAAGCAAGTAGAGGGTTTAGAGATGAATGGGAGAGAAAACAGAAGGCACGGTGGGTGTATAGGTTTAGCCACAGGTGTTGAATAAGTTGATATAAACTTACAGGGGGTGAATTGAGGCTTTAGGACTGCAGTCCTGTGCTGATTTGTAAGGAGGAAGACACGTATTTGTATTTGAGAGGTTGAAGAAATTGGCATGAAGCCATCAAGAACAGCAAAAACTTTATAACCCTGGGTATTTGGCGATCTAAATAGGTTAAATAGTTTTGGTGTGTGTCTGTGTGTGTGTGTGTGTGTGTGTGTGTGTGTGTGTGTGTGTGTGTGTGACAGAGTTTCACTCGTTGCCCAGGCTGGAGTGTAGTGGCACGATCTTGGCTCACTGCAACCTCATCCTCCTGGGTTGAAGCGATTCTCCTGCCTCAGCCTCCCAAGTAGCTGGAATTACAGGCGCTCACCACCACACCCGGCTAATTTTTGTATGTTTTAGTAGAGACGGGGTTTCACCATGTTGGCCAGGTTGGTCTTGAACTCCTGACCTCAGGTGATCCACCCACCTCGTTCCCAAAGTGGTGGGATTACAGGCGTGAACCACAACACCCAGCCCTATAATATTTTTTGTCGTTGTTGATGTAAGCACATTTTTAGGCTCTGTGGCACCAGAGTGAGACATGGGAAGTGGGCCTGAAAAAACCTGGGTCTTGTTTGTGTGTGTCTGGATAGAGAAACAGATGAAAAAATGTATACATATCTTATTGGTAGTATATGCCAAGTCAATTTACAAGTATCTTATTAAAATAGTTAATGAGGCCAGGTGCAGTGGCTCATGCCTGTAATCCCAGCACTTTGGGAGGCTGAGGCAGGCGGATCACTTG
The DNA here is from genome assembly GCF_000001405.40 of Homo sapiens. Taxonomy (NCBI): domain Eukaryota; kingdom Metazoa; phylum Chordata; class Mammalia; order Primates; family Hominidae; genus Homo; species Homo sapiens. The sequence continues at coordinate 10,781,656 of NC_000006.12, read as the reverse complement.
AAGTCAGGAGTTCGAGACTAGCCTGTCCAACATGGCAAAACCCTGTCTCTACTAAAAATACAGTAATTAGCCGGGCGTGGTGTTGGGTGCCTGTAATCCCAGCTACTCAGGAGGGTGAGGCAGGAGAATCACTTGAACCCAGGAGGCAGAGGTTGCAGTGAGCCAAGATTGTGACATTGCACTCCAGCCTGGGTGACAGAGTGAGACTCTGTCTCAAAAAAAAAAAAAAAAAAAATCTACTTTTGACCTTGAAGTCTGTATTTTCTTCCTCACGAGGTCAAATTTTCCTGACTATAGTTTCACCTACAGTTTGAAAACTGTTCTATTTGTGACATTATGCTTTGATTCTTGAAAGTGAGAGAAAATAAGTTATTCTAACATTTTTGTATAGGAAGTTGTCACATCATGACACTCACAGAATGAGAAATCTGCCCATATTTCTTGATAATCAGACTGTAAACATGGCAGGCCTCATTTTGGCTGCTTCATCTTAGATGGCTGTGAAGAGGAGCTTAGAAATGGAATGAAGCATTTCAGCAGTGCTCCGAGCAGGTTTGCGTGTAGAGGAGCAAGATCCCTTACAGAGGAGGAACTAGTAACACAGGAGGTGAAGGGGGATGAGTGAGGGACTGAAGAGCTTAGGAAGGTGGGAGAGGAGTTGGGATCAAGACCAGGGTTGGGGCACACTTTTGAAAGCAGCAGAAATCCTTGTTATTGTAATCTTTAGACACCTGTGTGTAAATTTTGGTGTTGAAATCATGAGAGAGAGAGAAAAAGAAAAAAGAAATTCTGAGAGAGTTTTAATCTGACTGCAAAAGCAAGGATGGAAGAAAGTTTTCAAAACATAGGTTCATGAGAGATAGTTTTCACTGTGTTTTTTGTTTTTTTGTTTGTTTAAATTGGTACATTTTGCCGGGTGCTGTCGCCTATAATCCCAGCACTTTGGGAGGCTAAGGCGGGTGGATCACGAGATCAAGAGATTGAGACCATCCTGGCCAACATGGTGAAATTCCGTCTCTACTAAAAATACAAAAATTAGCTGGGCGTGGTGGTGTGTGCCTGTAATCCCAGCTACTCAGGAGGCTGAGGCAGGAGAATGGCTTGAACCCGGGAGGTGGAGGCTGCAGTGAGCTGAGATCGCCCTACTGCACTCCAGCCTGGAAACAGAACAAGACTCTGTCTCAAAAAAAAAAAAAAAAAAAACCAGTACATTTCACTGACTGAAATATTGCAAATCAGTATCTTCTTACTTACAGAAGTGAGTAGTAGGAAACACTACTGCAAACTTTTGTCAAAGGATATTTATCCTTTGAGCCAAAGCACCCTGTTTTCATAGTTCTGCTTCCTAATGTGGTTTTCTGAGACCTGTTTGATCATTTCCTTTTTAACTAGAAATCTAACAAAGTCTGCAAATTACTTGGGATCAGAAGGATGGCTATAATTGAGATTTAAAAAGTAAACTCAATTACAAAGAATTGTTTGGAATGTAAACTTGAGCCTTACTGTCACCTATTGGCGGTCGTGGTTTTGAAGATGACCCCTCTGGAGCTGGATGAAATTTAAAACTAGAATCAGGCTCAGTTCAGTCACCTGGACAGACATTTATTGAGCACCTATTGTGAACCAGCAACTATGCAGAGGATAGAAACCTGAATAAGAAGCAATCTTTGGCCGGGTGCGGTGGCTCACGCCTGTAATCCCAGCACTTTGGGGAGGCCAAAGCCGGTGGATCACCTGAGGTCAGGAATTCGAGACCAGCCTGGCCAACATAATGAAACCCCGTCTCTACTAAAAATACAAAAAAATTAGCCAGGCATGGTGGCGGGTGCCTGTAATCCCAGCTACACAGGAGGCTGAGGCAGGAGAATCACTTGAATCCAGAAGGCAGATGTTGCAGTGAGCCAAGATAGTGCCATTGCACTCCAGCCTGGGCAACAAGAGTGAAACTGTCTCAAAAAATAAAAAAATTTAAAAAAAGAAACAATCCTTGACATTTATTTATGATCCATAGTTATTTTTGTAATTGAGTATCTTCAGGAATAAAAAATACTAATATCTTTTGGGGCCCCCTCTTTACCCTAAAGCCAAGTATAAAAGGTCTTATTAAGCATCGACTTTTAGGATTCTGGGAGCTCTAGAAATGTACCATATAATTGCAGGGCAGCATGACATTATACTACAAGGACTGGCGGATCTGTGACACTGGCCTTCAGGGAAAGAGACGCAAGAGTCATAGTTACTGACCTGCTACTACTAACCGGCTGTGTACTTGGAGCAAGATTCTGTTTTCTGTAACTTACGATGGGACTGCACCATCTGTCAGCTCACTCTGTAAGCCTTAGGTACTTTAATTATCACAAGATAGTTGCAAATACAGTATGCAATTGAAAGCTAATCTCTCAGCAGTGCCCTCTGGTCTCACCCCCTGCTCCTAGAGCCGGGACTCTGGGCATGAATCGATGCCACCACTGCTGGCCGGAGCAGCTCACTCCATAGCACTTCTTTTTTTTTTTTTTTTTTTTTTTTTTTGAGACGAAGTGTTGCTGTGTTGCCCAGGCTGGAGTGCAGTGGTACCACCTCAGCTCACTGCAACCTCCACCTCCTGGGTTCAGGTGATTCTCCTGCCTCAGACTCCCAAGTAGCTGGGACTACAGGCACACGCCACCATGCCCAGCTAATTTTTGTATTTTTAGTAGAGATGGGGTTTCACCATGTTGGCCAGGCTGATCACAAACTCCTGACCTCAAGTGATCCGCCCACCTCAGCCTCCCAAAGTGCTGGGATTACAGGCATGAGCCACCGCACCTGGCCTCCATAGCACTTATGAAACTGATCTGTGCATCCTTCTCTCTTCCCATTCATTATTCACCATCTTTCCTTCCACCCTGTTTATTCAACATCCTGTGTCATTTCTACATTAGCCTCTGCTTTTTCACTTTCTTAACACGGCACACAAAATCCTGTGTGGCCTGCCCCTCCTCCCCTCTCCAGCCTCATTTTATACCACCCCGTGTTCTTGCTGCAGCCTTACTGGCCATCTCTGAGTTCTTTCCCATCTCAGGTCCTCTGCCCAAACTGTTGCCTCTTCAAGGATCGCACCTCCCCACCCCTTAAAACACATTTATGCCTAGTGTTCCATTATTGGAACGCTAAGCATGTGGGAGTTGTATCCTACTGCTGAAGGTCATCGCCAAGGTCTGATTGCAAAATTTCAAAAAATTGCAACCTCAGGCATAAATGAGGGTTAATCATGATTCACATTTCAGCTTAAAATTGCTTATTTGAAAGAAAGACTGGCTGAGTTGCTTCTGTTATTTGCCCCCTCCACCCCAGATTCTTCTAAACATGATGCACCCTGCTCATTATGTATTTACTTAGTTATGACTAAAACTGTCTCCCTTCTCATTAGATTCTAAGAGCCAAAGAGTAGAAACTGGTCTATTTTGTTTAGCACTTTTTCTCCAATGCCACGCACTGCCTGGCACTGGTAGGTGCTCAGTAAATATTTGCTAACTGACTTTTTTATGTCCTTTGAGGCAAGTGATTATCATCATGTAATGACATCTATCATTATAATATCAAATTAATTTATGCTTCTTCCTAACAGTGTTTGGTTTGTAGGAGGTACCCAGTGAAAACTTATAAACAAATAAATAACAAAATTCTAGGATATATCTATTTCCAACAAAATTGGAATCTTTATCTTAAATAGACCTTGAGGCCAGGCGAGGTGGCTCATACCTGTAATCCCAGCACTTTGGGAGGCTGAGGCAGGCGGATCACCTGAGGTTGGGAGTCCGAGACTAGCCTGACCAACATGGAGAAACCCTGTCTCTACTAAAAATACAAAATTAGCCGGGCGTGATGGCGCATGCCTGTAATCCCAGCTACTCAGGAGGCTGAGGCAAGAGAATCACTTGAACCTGGGAGGTGGAGGTTTTGGTGAGCTGAGATCACGCCATTGCACTCCAGCCTGGGCAACAATAGCAAAAGTCTGTCTCAAAACAAAAGAAAACAAAACAAACCTTGAATTAAACTAGTTATCTTCAATAATTTACTTACCTTTTACTTTAAAATACTTAAAAAAAAAGCCTATTTAGGAATATTGCCAAGGCCAACTGGATTAACAACATCATTTAAATATTCAGAACTCATTCTTTGTTATGACAACTGTGTTCACACAGATTTTTAATGTTTTACCCCTACCTTGCACTTCCTTTTTGGGTAAATACATTTTTTTTTTTTTTTGTGACAGTCTTGCTCTGTAGACCAGGCTGGATGCAGTGGCACAGTCTCAGCTCATTGCAACTTCCACAACTTGGGTTCAAGTGATTCTCGTGCCTCAGCCTCCCAAGTAGCTGGAATTACAGGCAGGCACCACCACACCCAGCTAATTTTTTTTGTATTCTTTTAGTAGAGACAGGGTCTCACCATGTTGGCCAGGCTTGTCTCGAACTCCTGACCTCAGGTGATCCACCTCCCTCAGCCTCCCAAAGTGCTGGGATTACAGGCATGAGCCACTGTGCCTGGCCTAAAGATGTTTTAATATGAGTAATTGCCACCAAGTGCATCTTTATGGTTAGGTAGTTGCCTTTTTTTTTTTTCTTTTGAAATGGAGTCTCACTCTGTTGCCCAGGCTAGAGTGCAGTGGTGCGATCTCGGGCTCACCACAACCTCTGCCTCCCAGGTTCAAGCGATTCTCCTGTCTCATGCCTGGCTAATTTTTGTGTTTTTAGTAGAGATGGGGTTTCACTATGTTGGCCAAGCTGGTCTCAAACTCCTGACCTCGTGATCCGCCCGCCTCGGCCTCCCAAAGTGCTGGGATTACAGGCATGAGCCACCGCACCCAGCTGGTAGTTGCCTATAATAGTTCGATTTGTAGGTGTTTTATTAGGGAAGTTATATCCTATAAAGAAAGGGAAATTACTTGCCTGATGAAGTGTTTCCTTAGAGAACTGATAATGGGTAACTTTTGAGGTGCAGTATTTCTGGTTTCAAAATAAGGGATATTATTATATATCTCATACATATGAAACCTTTCTAAGGAATCCAGCTCGCGGAAAGCAAAAGCTCAACTGCCTGGAGACAGTTCTGACTTCCTAAATCAGTGGAGTCCTCAGTGATGATTTCTACACTAGATAAAGAAAACTCTCCGTGAATGACCAAAAGGCATAGACTGCTCAAGTTCACTCTAATTTAATTATCAGTGAAAAGAAAACAAGCTCAAGAAGTTTTCAGTCTCTTAAGAACAGGTTGAAACAACTCCCTTTGACCACTAGTATCACGGCCCAAGGCTGAATGGACATTTCACAGATTTCAGAAAATCATAAGTAATTTAAACTGTTCTTTTTCCAAGTACATTTGCAATGACTTCTTTCTGGCGCACAGGGGATAAACTGTTTCCATTTTACTGTATCTCATATACAAATAAGCGTTTCAGGTGGAGCTTCATACCTCCGAACTTCAAAGGTTTTCCTGAGTTCTTAGTCACGTGTCTGTTTTCCCTGCTACACCAAGGGTTGGGCCAAGAATATACGCTCAAAACAAGTGACATGAAAATGTCATGTTGGGTCGGGTGTGGTGGCTTACACCTGTAATCTCAGCACTTTGGGAGGCCAAGGTGAACGGATCACTTGAGGCCAGGAGTTTGAGACAGCCTGGCCAACATGGTGAAATCCCCTCTCTACTAAAAATACAAAAATTAGCCAAGCATGGTGGTGGGTGCCTGTAATCCCAGCTACTCGGGAGGCTGAGACACAAGAATCACTTGAACCTGGGAGGTGGAGGCTGCAGTGAGCCAAGATCACACCATGGCACTCCAGCCTGGACGACAGAGAGAGACCCTGTCTCAAAACAAAACAAAACAAAACAAAAAAAACGTCGTGTTGTTGAAGAAAAATTTTTGTGCCATCTCAATTTTTACAAGACCCTTAGCAAGAACATCAAGTGTTATTATTATATTGTAGAAAATATCTTCTGCCTATAAAGTACACTGTCAACATTCCAGGTGGTTGTGCTAAGGGCTTGGTATCATGTTAGGGTTCATCAGAAAGCAAGTATCTGCTACATTTTCACCTAGATTTATTTCCATTCTCCTGTCCAAGGTGTCTCTAGTCTTTGTTTGAATGTATTACATAAGTTTCCTTTAAGTTTATGATCTGCTCTAACCTTTGAAGTGGTTGTTTTGTTCTTCTCAGGTGTGAATCCCAAGAAGGTGTCCTTGATAGCCAGTGGAAAGGAAATAAACCCCCACACTTGGAGCAACCAGTTATTCCCCAAGTCACTGGGACCCGTTGGGGCAGAACTTGCTTTCAAAAGGAGCAATGCAGGTAACGCAAGAATACAAAATGTACATGTACGGGGTTTTCCTTTATAGAGGTCTACTTTTAAATATATTGCAGTGCTCTTCCAACCAAGATACATGTGCACTTGGGAGATACACAAAGGTTTTCCACTACACTCTGCCTATGGGTAGCCCTGCTCTGCTGGAGCAGTCATGGAGTTGTAACACTGCCTCTTCAATAAAACTGTTTGTAGCTGGATGAGCATGGTGGTTCACACCTGTAATCCCAGCACTTTGGGAGGCGGAGGTGGGCAGGTCCCTTGAGCCTAGGAGTTCGAGATCAACCTGGCCAACATGGTGGAACTGTGCCTCTATATTAAAAAGTACAATAATAAAAAAAAGGTTTTCCCACTAATTCTTGAGTACAGCTAGTTTTAAGGGAATTCTCGACCTCCATCTGAATCTTTCCTGAAATGGGTCTGCCCTAGCAAGGAGTTTCTATTCTGAAAAGAAGACTTCTCACTGGCTACCATGGTGTGTTTTCTTTTTCCCCAAAATGTAAAAATATCTGGGGTGCCAATGAAATGGAAATTCTGGTATGTTGATGTCACTGTTGAGAAAGTAAGTAACTTTGATTTGATGACTGAGGAACAGGTCCTTTTTAAAGTCAAGGAGTCTTAACAGTTCTCAGCATTTAGAAAATTGAAGGAGGACCTACTTGAATTGTTAGCTGACAGGTAATTTAAAAAGTTTTTTTAATTTTTTTTTATGAGATCAGTATATGAATTTTGGTCTGTAATTTTGAAGAGCGTTTGAAGAATAGAGTGGCAAAGCTATCACAAAACCGCTTTTGTTCCCAACTATCTATTTGTATTAGCAAGATTTCTTAATGCTTCTGTCTCCAAAAAGGAAGAAAAAAGAAAAGAGAGAGAAAATAGCCCTGATGCTGTGATTCCAGCAATAAATATTCATTTGTTGATACATGAACTACTTGAAAATAACCCCACCTTTCTCATTAAGAGATGTGTTTGCAAAAAACTTAATTTTCGTGTTTAGTAATCAAAATATATAATACTCAACTTTTTTGATTAATTATATACAATGAATCATTGTAATTATAACTTTGTACAGTATGTTAATATCCTTATGGTTACAAGAAATTAAAAAAAGTTTTAATTTACACATATTTTAGAGTGACCAATTTTAGACTTTTAAGCCTAAGATTACATTTGGATAAAATTTGGAAGCTGAGGTATAAATAAAGATATAATTTTAAGGGAAAAAAGAATTAATGTGAAATGTCCAAGCATCAAAAAGGAACTTGTTCATGTATTTTTATGTCAATATTGGAGGACATAAAATCACTAATAGTTTTGGCCAGGTGCAGTGGCCCACTCCTGTAATCCCAGCACTTTGGGAGGCCGAGGTGGGCGAATCACAAGGTCCGGAGTTCGAGACCCGCCTGACCAACATGGTGAAACCCTGTCTCTACTAAAAATACACACACACAAAAAAAAATCCAGGCATGGTGGCATGCGCCTATAAATCCAGCTGCTCAGGAGACTGAGACAGGAGAATCGCTTGAACCCAGGAAGTGGAGGTTGCAGTGAGCCGAGATCACACCACTGCACTCCAGCCTGGGCGACAGAGCGAGATTCTGTCTCAAAAAAAAAAAAAAAAAAATCACTAATAGTTTTATTTTTTAAATGCCTATAGTTACAATATGTCAGAAATAACATCCTTTGCAACTGTTAAACTTATGATTAAAAATTTTAAATATCAACTTAAAAGTGTGTGAAGAGGTACAGTTTGTTTTTTAATGTAGGTGATATTGGATCAAAAAACTTTGACAATTACCATTATAAGTGAGTAGTTTAGTGAGATATTCTGATGTGACATCAATATATTTGGGCTTTTTACAAGTTTTCCAGATTCTTTAAAAACTCAGTTTATCCATTTAATGTCGCTGCGGTGTCATACACTGCAGCACTGTAATTTACTTATTTTTTCTTCAGATAATTAAAATTAATATTCACTGAACCAACCAGTTACACAAATTCAATTAAATGACAGTAGAACAACTTTGAGTCTCAAGGGAATATACAGTTGGCATCAAATAAATGCTGTGACAACAATGGGGACATTTTTGCATTTTTAAGGGCTCTTTCTGGATCTTTTCATTAATCATCTAATCCATTTTTTCTCTGCTTTTCCTATAACATTCTCCTTACTATTATTCTTTCTTTCCATCTGTCTTCTCTTTAGAAGAAAGCATAATTAAACCAATCGAAAAACTATCATGCAATGAAACTTTTCCTGAAAAATTAGAGGACCCACAAGGTAATTTCTGGGCGTCAGATGAATGCAGTTTGTTCTTTGAATCTCTTGTCTGATTTTCTTCTCAACATTTGCCCCTAATCCTGACATAAAAGGCCGAGATGATCCGCTTTGAGAAGTCAGATCAGGACTAAGATAAAGAAAAGCATTCTGTCTCATCAAGAATATCTTCCTTCAGTAACTGAGATTTTAAGATGAATATGCTCTCAAAAAGCTCTGTGCTGGTCTTCTTAAATTAATTACGGAAATTTATAGAGGAAATCAAGCAAATAATTCTAATGAAAAGAATCAAAAGAGTATTTTCTAATTTTGCGATCTATATTCCTGGAATTTTTTTTTCAAAGTTCTGAAACTCATTTCTTAAGCATGAACAACCACTTTTTTAAAAAGGTTAGGCTGGGCGCGGTGGCTCACACCTGAAATCCCAGCACTTCAGGAGGCCGAGCCGGGCAGATCATGAGATCAAGAGATAGAGACCATCCTGGCCAACATGATGAAACCCGTGTCTCTACTAAAAATACAAAAATTAGCTGTGTGTGGTGGCATGCACCTGTAATCCCAGCTACTCAGGAGGCTGAGGCAGGAGAATCGCTTGAACCCGGGAGGCGGAGGTTGCAGTGAACCAAGATTGCGCCACTGCACTCCAGCCTGGCAACAGAGCAAGACTCCATCTCAAATAAATAAATAAAAATTAAAAAAAAAAAAAGGTTAACTGGGTTAATAGAGATGGTGGATTTCCTAGGGGTTCAGTGTTACTGGTTTCAACAGTGCTAACAACTGGCTGCAATCTGAAAATTCACAGCATACAAGGTACTTCAAATAATAAGCCAAAATAATTTAAGAAGACTTAATTTTCTGTTCATGTTTTTTCCCTAACAACTTCTTTCTCCAATAAGAAGCATCATAATGCATGAATCCTAGAGTCTGATATATCCCATTTTGTCACTCACCAGCTTTTGTGGTTTGGGACAAGTTGTTTAAGCCAGCTTTCCCGTCCATAAAACGGACGAAATTTCCTTAGGTATTCTTACATAACCCTACCTGGAATTTTAACACATGCTAAGCATTTAATAAGTGTTTGCTCTGCTGATGAGGATGAGAGCAAGAGACATGACTGAAGCTGCTAGTGAATGCAATCACTGCTTTGAATTTCCTTCCGAAAATTTTTCTGAAGTAAAGAACTGATTAGTGTTTCAGAATGAGTTTCTGAGATGGGAAAAAGGTTAAAGTAGGCAGCTGAACTTACACAAAATTCAGTAGGGTTAAACATGTATAGACTGAGAGCATGTGCTCACTGTATGTAACCCTTTAGGGGCTGATAACATAATATTGCGCTTTGACATTTGTTGCTTCAAGAGCAGACACCTGTTGAAGCCTGATATGCCGTGAGAGACAACGGACACAGAGCCCAGTGTCGAGACGTGTAAACAGATAACGCTATAGAGAAAACACTGTTTACTGAACAGTGCTTTGAAACCACGAGGGTGATCAGAGCCCCATTTCGCCTTCTAGAGATAAACCTGTCTCCCTTCCTGCAGAGCTAGCTCCTCCTATTGCTTCTGGTTGTCGTTTGTCTTCAGTCTGCTTCCTGCCAGTGCAGCAGCTCCTGCTAGATCTTGACATCCTAGTGGCCAGATCCCAGGGGCGGTGCTGGTCCTATCCGAGCTCTCTGCCTCATCTCCCATTCCTTTTTTCCACACTCAGTGTGTATTCTCTTGGATTTCCATACCCTGTTCCTCCTACCATCCACCTCTCTACCTGTTCTCTTCCTCCATGAGGTCCTTTTCTCTCCTGTCCCTTAATGCTGGTGTTCCTTGGGGGTCTACTCCAGGTCTCTGCACATTCGCAGTGCCTCTGAGCTGGCTCCTTCAGCCCACAACTCTGTAACCACCACACCCTGATCATCACCAATCTCCACGCCTGCCCACTTGCCCTCTGCCTGCCACAACATGAATGTCCTCTGGGTACCATGTCTTTCCCCCAATCCTGATTCTCCTCCTATGTTGCTATTCATGGACAACGCACCCCCCAGTCACCTGAGCTGCAAACTTAGGAGTTTATATTTCCCTCTTTCCCTACCACCTCCACCCCGTGAACCTGCTTAGTTCCCTTCTTCTTCACCCTCTGCCACTGCTGTGGTTCAGACCCTCATCCTCCCTCATTTCAGCTCTTAGCAGTGACTTCCTCACTGGTCTCCAGACTTTAGATTTTTCCTCATCAATGCATCCCTATGCTAACGCCAGATTGAGCATTCACCAATAGTGATGATGATGATGGTGTTGATAATGATGGCAATTATGCTAGCTGACGTTTAATGCGTACAGATTCTATGCCACGTGCTCTGAAGAGTCTCATCAATCCCTACAACAACCCTACGAGAATAGGTCCACTTACAACCATTTTACAGAATGAAGACAGACACAGAGAGCACTTCAGAGATAGGGGCTTCGCAGTGGGAAATACACCCCCATGTGAAGAAGTGGGGTCGTGAGAAAGCCTGGCGTGTTCAGGGTGAACTGAACACCCCTGGGCCTTGAGTTCAGACCCCAGCTCAGTCTCTTACTAACTGTGAGAAGTTAGGCAAGTTACTCAACATTGGAGAGCCACACGATATGGATACTAATATGATCTAAGCGGGCTGTTGTATGGATGGAATAAGAATATCTGTAACAAGTGCAGCTCAGTGCCTAAAACATAGTAGATGCTGAAAAATAGTATTTAGAAGTAATGGGGTAGTATTCAATGTTATTCTACTGTGCCTAAAATATTCACCTTCTGACTGTGAAACTTTATGATATGTCACTAGGAAATCTTGGAAGTTATGCTACTTACAATCAGTCAGGATATATTCCTTCCTTTCTCAAAAAAGAAGTGCAGTCAGCTGGCCAGAGGATCCACTTAGCACCTCTCAATGCAACGGCTTCAGGTAGGAACAACTTCAGATACAGTTTTCTAGATTCCTAGCAGAAAGGAACATTTTCCTTTTTAAGTTTATGCAGTCACTTTTCCCAAGCGAAGACTTTTAGTCAGCCTCACCTCATTAACGCATTTCTTTTTGTTTTTACCGAAATGTCCTATTTTTCTTCCAAAAATGAGGATTTGAGGGTCTAATAATTATAAGAGCTACCACTAATTAAGTGGTGACTCTCTGCCAGGCACAGTGTAAAGGGCTTACTGGAATTATATCATTTAATCCTCATGATAACCTGATGATGTAGCTAGATCTCTTCTTTACAGATGATGAAATGTAGGTGAAGTAACTTACCTGAGGTCACACAGCTAGTGGAGCTGGGATAGAAACCCAACTTAATCCACTTCCAAAGAGTGTGCTGTGCTGCACAGAGAGATGTGAGAAAATGCCTTTTCCAGAGCCCTCTGCCCAGGACCTGGCACAGGGTGAAAGCTTAATAAATGCTGACACTCTATTTATGAATGAGTTAACATGAGGTGTGTCTCTACAGTTCCATCTTAGGGCGTAGAAATTAGCGGTGGCAGGACTTTCACACCCTGCCTTTTGCTTTGCAATAGTATTCAGGGGGAAGGGTTTATCCCTCCACCCTCCAGCGTTATGCCTAACTGAGGTAAGCTTGCTCCCCAGTGGTGTGGCATGTGACAGCCACATGTGGGGGTACACACTTGAAATGGAGGGTGATGATTCTGTACTTAAGCCAATCAGATTTGACCATGAATGGTCTTCGAATCATTTGAATCTGAAATAGATATTCTTAGTGAAGCACCAAAAATAAACATTAAAGCCAATCATTAGAACTTTAATAAGATACCTAATTGTAGTTTAATTTATTTATTTTAATTCTTTTTTATAGAGAAAAAGCCTTGCTCTGTCACCCAGGCTGGAGTGCAGGGATGCAATCATGGTTCACTGCAGCCTCGAACTCCTGGGCTCAAGTGATCCTCCTGCCTCCGCCTTCTGAGTAGATGGGACTACAGGCACACACGACCGTGCCCAGCTAATTAAAAAAAATGTTTTTTGTAGGGACAGGGTCTTGCTATGTTGCCCAAGCTGGATCTTGACTCGTGGGCGCAAGCAATCCTCCCACCTTGGCCTCCCAAAACTCTGGGATTATAGGCATGAACCACTATGCCCGGCCTGTAGTTTAATTTAAAAGTTGACTCTGAAAGTGTGCTCACAGCCTATCCTAACCACTATCTTATATTAAAACCCCTGATTAGATGTGCCAGTCTTTAAAGTTCACACTATTGGAGCTAAAAATGTATAAAGCCTGGACTTCTTTATTTTTTTATTTCTTGCCGCAATAGAACTGCTTAAATAGTACTACAGTTACCTTATCTGTGAAAAGAATTGCTTCATTATCTTTTCGCTGAAACAAAATAAGTAAACATTTTATATACAGCAGTGATTTTTATAAGGCCTCAAATATTTAAGCCAGCCTTATGAGCCATTCATTTATATGAAATATAAAATTTTATTTATTTTGAGATGGAGTCTTGCTCTGTTGCCCAGGCTGGAGTGCAGTGGTGTGATCTCAGCTCACTGCAACCTCCACCTCCCGGGTTCAAACGATTCTCCTGCCTCAGCCTCCCAAGCAGCTGGGATTACAGGCATGCACCACCATGCCCAGCTAATTTTTTTTGTATTTTTAGTAGAGACGCAGTTTCACTGTGTTGGTCAGGCTGGTCTTGAACTCGTGACCTCAAATGATTCACCTGCCTCAGCCTCCCACAAGTGCTGGGATTACAGGCATGAACCACTGCACCCGGCCACATTTTATATTTTTAATATAAAGGCAGAAAATCATAATGTTTCAAATTATTTTGTTACCTAGGTATCTACTCTTATAAATCAAGAGTGGGTCTTTTAAAAAATATTTTTGTAAGATATTGAAGGCCTTTATATATTAATTATTCTATCCAATTAGCATGCATATTCCTGTTTTCATTTTTTTTAAGTAAATGCTTTTTCTTAACTTTTTATTTCTTTACTCTGCTTATCAGATTTTTCTACAGATGGTGATAGGAGGAAAGGTAAAAAATGAAGTAAATATTAATCACTCTCAAGTGGTCAATGCAAATCCTTAGAAAAAACACTGTTCTGTAAGAGATGTGTCTTCCAGTCATGCCAGTTGGGTGACAGTTTCCCACAAGAAAATAAAACCAGGTCATTACCATATTTACTCAACTATTTCCCCCTTCTTGCATAGTCTCGTCTTTGCTCTTCTTTCTCCCCTTCAAGATTTTTGTTTTTGTTTTTTTTTTTTTTTTTTTTTGAGACAAAGTCTCGCTCTGTCACCAGCCTGGAGTGCAGTGGCGTGATCTCAGCTCCCTGCTGCAACCTCTGCCACCCGGGTTCAAGCGATTCTCCTGCCTCAGCCTCCGGAGTAGCTGGGACTACAGGTGCGTGCCACCACGCCCAGCTAATTTATGTATTTTTAGTAGAGATGGGGCAGGATGATCTCGATCTCTTGACCTCGTGATCTGCCTGCCTCGACCTCTCAAAGTGCTGGGATTACAGGCATGAGCCACCGCACCTGGCCTCTACCCTTTAAGTTTTGAGAAGGAAAATCAATGTCTTCCCTCCCATGTAATCTCTCCTTCCCCTAATACTTCCTTATCCCCTGCCTTGAAACTAACAAGGACTTCGAGGAGTGACTTCTGTTCTACACAGCACCCTTTAGGATCACTTTAGAAGTGCAGGATCCTGTTTTAAGCACTCTGTGTACATTAACTCATTAATCCTCCCAGGGCTGTATTCCAGGAGGTACTATTATGATCCGCATCTCACACAAGTTTTATATGTTGCTAAAAGTTGTATCACAGTGGCATCAATTAAATCCATAACTAGAGGCAAACTTCTTTCCTTTAGCATAGATTTTCTACAAGAAGTTAAATGTCCTTGATAGGACAGATGCAGTTTTTAAACACAGAGCAAGCATTGCAAGGCTCACTATCCCTCCCGCTCTTGCAGGGCAGTGAGGTGTGGGGTGGTCCCACTAAGGCACAAAAGCACTTCTTGCCCTGCCACGAGATCTGGGCTCCTCTCAGCTGTTAGGTTCTTCACCAAAGGTACTTGAGTCCTGAAATTCTAGTATATCTAGGAAAGGAATCCTAAATCTCAACACTACCCCCTTCTTAGCAAAATGATTCCCTCTTGAAAAAGTTTTACAAAATATTGTCCTGGACACAATTTCATTTAAAACCATTTAGGACTTAGGTGATATCATGACCTGGAAAAAGGCTTCTCTTTTTGTTACTCCCCAAAGCTCTCACTTCTTGCCCTCAGAGCCACACCCATTAGCCTAATGCCACGTTCCCTTTTCCCTCCCTGAATAAGCGGGGCTTATTGCCTCTCTCCCCGCTCTCTACTCCCCTCCCACGCTGTCTCTTCTACCCCTGCTACCAGT
Organism: Homo sapiens; assembly: GCF_000001405.40. NCBI lineage: Eukaryota > Metazoa > Chordata > Mammalia > Primates > Hominidae > Homo > Homo sapiens. The sequence goes on along the minus strand of NC_000006.12, from coordinate 10,766,656 downwards.
TTGACCTGTGGCCCACATGGGTGAGCTCACTAATTTAGCAGACAGATGCTCGTTTCTATTCCAATGGCTATAACTAAAGGGCTCTTTCTGGAAAACATGGTGCCCTGACTGGCCCTTGTAGACACATTGTCCCTGACTTTGTTAGATAGCTTTTTAGTGGCTTTGACTTTGAGAATTTTAAGCCCAGTAAAAAGAGTGGAATGAAAGGACCTGTCAAACCATGGAGTGGGGAGCTCTTGGCCTCCCTGCCTCCACCAAACTACACGGCAGCCAGGCGGCTGTCTTACCCAGAGTGTCCACACTTAATACCTTGTTCACCCATGCTGAAGTTAGTAGCTTGTCAGGACCACATGCTCACAGAATTCCCTCCTCACTCCCAGTTATACAGTGAAAATTTAAGAAAAACTGTGCAAACCATGCCAGTAAATATGGGATAGCTAGGGCTAGGGGTACAAAATGGTCAGATTCATTTCAGTATTAACACTTAGAGTTTAATCCAAGAATGGCAGCTACTACACAGTGTGAAGAGATATTTAAACCCCAGATGGAAAAAGCAGACATCCCTCCTCAGATACAATACCTGTGATACCTTAGCTCTCAATTCGAGGTGAGGAAAGCGTGAAGGAGGGACTGAAGAAGGCATCAAAAGTTGTCTGTAAAATGATCTCCTGCTTTGTCCTTTGAAATGTTGAAGCAGTTTTAGCTCATAAATTGTTCAGATAACAAATGTTCAAGAAATTTTAAATTTTTCACAAATTTTTAAACAGTCAGATATATGAATGAAACAACCTTGTGGTTAAAAGTTTAGGATCCTACCATTTAAGGGAATTGTGTTCCCACCCATGATTTTCCCAATGAGAAATGAAGTATGGGCCGGGTGCGATGGCTCACACCTGTAATCCTAGCACTTTGGGAGGCTGAGGTGGGTGGATCATTGGCAAGGCTGAGGTGGGTGGATCACCTTAGGTCAGGAGTTCCAGACCAGCCTGGCCAACATGGCAAAACCCCATCTCTACTAAAAATACAAAAACTAGCTGGGCGTGGTGGTGCGCCCCTGTAATCCCAGCTGCTCAGAAGGCTGAGGCAAGAGAATCACTTGAACCCGGGAGGTGGAGGTTGCAGTGAGCCGAGATCGCACCATTGCACTCCAGCCTGGGCAACAAGGGCGAAACTCTGCCTCATTAAAAAAAAAAAAAAAAAAAAAAAAAAAAAAAAATCTTCATTCTAAAACCCACATTTTAATGTTTAAAAAGAAATCTATTATAGGACCCCATGTGTGTTCTTCCATGAAGCCACAGTTTTATAGATTCACAATTCCAAATACATTTTTCTGTAGTGATATTGTGTCAATATTATTTAGATGTAACCACAGTGTGATATTACAAAGTCACCAACACTGTGGGTGTTGCCCATTGAATTTGAGCCAATAAATTTTCTTGGTCTTCTTACCTGGCGTTGCCTATCTAAATGTAAAATATTAAAAATAGCAGCAGTGTCAGCACTATAAACCAGGAATAATATTGGCTCTTCAGCTACTGAAAATTCTTTTTTTTTTTTTTTGAGATGGAGTTTCACTCTTGTCGCCCAGGCTGGTGTGCAATGGTATGATCTCGGCTCACTGCAACCACTGCCTCCCGGGTTCAAGTGATTCTCTTGCCTCAGCCTCCTGAGTAGCTGGGATTACAGTCACCCGCCACCACGCTCAGCTGATTTTTTTTGTATTTTTAGTAGAGACAGGGTTTCACCATGTTGGCCAGGCTGGTCTCGAACTCCTGACCTCAGGTGATCCACTTGCTTCAGCCTCCCAAAGTGCTAGGACTACAGGCAGGAGCCACTGCGCCCGGCCAGCTACTGGAAATTCTAATGGATGTCAACATAATACTACACTAGAATTTTTGGTTTTAACATTTAAAAAGCCTCAGAGAGTACTGAGTTAATCTTTTAAACATAAATTCAGATTTTCCCCATCAAATGAGAGGATGAATTTCTTTATTTTGAGTTTGATAAGCAAATGAGTAAAACCCTGTTTTCCAAATCTGATTTCTTTCAGAATATACCTGGAACACAAAAACTGGTCGGGGGCAGTTTTCAGGACGTACTTATAATCCTACAGCAAAAAACCTAAATATTGTGAACCGTGCACAGCCCATTCCCTCAGTGCATGGGAGGACAGACTGGGTGGCCAAGTATGGAGGCCACCGGTAGGAGTCTATGGTGTGAAACCCTACAGCATTGCTCCGTAGAGTACGTGCAAGTTCCTTGACCCTGGGAAATGTCTACAAATGTCTATTTCTACTGAGTTCTGGAAGAAATATGCAAAAGTGGGTACTTGGAAGGGCAAAAATCATCCCCTATTTTACTTATTTCCAAGAAATGCATTTTCTTAGCATCATTGCCCACAGTGTTGATATATGGGTAGGATGTTACAAAGTATTGAATAAACTATTTGCCAAAGTATGAAGTATTTGATCTACAATTTAATAAATAGTAAATCCAATAAGAACCCTTAAAAAAAAACAACTTCCAGAAAATGTTTAGAGTGTTTTAGTTTTCATTTGTTGTATGTGCCCAAATGGTTTAGTAGTTCTTCACTTTGCTGTGGTTGGCTTAAGAGGTTTGTCTTTTGTTTTTGTACAGCAGTTGGGCCAACCTTTGCTGGCTGTCAGCTGTGGTTCTTATTTGACTAAGGCTCTGCGCTGCCATTTTGTCAATGACAGAAAGATTGCAATTATTTGTTTTTCTACTTTGAAGCTATGGGAGCGATGGTAATTTCAATCTTGAGCAGGATATCTTTTTTTTTTTTTTTGAGGCGATGTTTCACTCTTGTGTCCAGGCTGGAGTGCAGTGGCACTATCTTGGCTTACTGCAACCTCCACCTCCTGGGTTCAAGTGATTCTCCTGCCTCAGCCTCCCGAGTAGCTGGGATTAGAGGCGTGTGCCACCATGCCTGGCTAATTTTTGTAGTATTAGTAGAGACAGGGTTTCACCATGTTGGTCAGGCTCAGGCTGGTCTCAAACTCCTGACCTCAGGTGATCCACCTGCCTCGGCCTCCCAAAGTGCAGGGCTTACAGGTGTGAGCCACAGTGCCCAGCTTTTTTTTTTTTTTTTTAGAAATAAATTTATCTTTAACATAGAGAATATCAAAGTTATGCCACTTGATTTTAGTGGACGGCTTGTGTTTTGATCTTGACCAGTACAGTTCCCATGAATTCAAGGTGACAATCAAGCCCAATGGCTTGATGACTTCAATAGTAACCAAGTCAAGGTTCTCTTGGCTGGACATCATTAAGAAAGTTCTGGAAACTGTGTTTGTTTGATGCTGGTTCATTGGACTTTTCAAATTGTTTTGTTTCTGTGTCCCTACCAGACACAAAGATGAAGTGTGCCAGCTGGTTCCCCCAAGCCAGCTCATGCTGCTGACCACTGACTCAGCTCTGACCTTCACATTTGCTCTGAAGCAAGTGCGTTCAGCTGCTGGGGCAGTGATATCACATAGTACATATATTATTTCCTTAGTTTATTTCCAAACTGGTATTTTAAATAGACACTTCGAACTTTGGGCTACTCTGTTTAAATCTGCCACTTTCTGGACTGGACCTTAGTACTGTAAATTCTTTTTAAAGAATAATAATGTTACCAACTGCTGAGATTTTTATGTATTTTGTGACTTTGTAACAACTGCTATTGTAATAAGTGTCATCTTGTGGGCATTATACAAAGGCATATTATAAAATAATAATGATATTTTTGTATAGAAGAGTCAACTGTTCAGATGTAAGATGTTGAAAAATGTTAAAATCTAAAGAGTAATTTATCCTAGTGGTAATGGTTATATGTATTTGTACAGTTTAAATTAATGTCTCAAAGCTGTGCAGTCTTTTGTTACTGGGACACTTTTAAACTCTGAATAGGCATTAAAAAAAATATGGCTAACTAGTGTGTTTTCATTATGTTTTTAAACCTTATATCCTGAATTCTATTTGTTGTTGTTGTTTTAATTAGTAGTCTTTAAAAAAAGCAGTTTTAGGGCCAGGCACAGTGGCTCACACCTGTAATCCCAGAACTCTGGGAGTCATAGGTGGGTGGATCACTTGAGGTCAAGAGTTCAAGACCAGCCTGGCCAAGATGGCAAAACCCTGTCTCTACTAAAAATACACAAAAATTAGCTGGGCACGGTGGCGGGCACCTGTAATCCCAGCTACTTGGGCGGCTGAGGTAGGAGAATTGCTTGAACCTGGGAGGCAGAGGTTACAGTACAGTGAGATCGTGCCACTGCACTCCAGCCTGGGCGACAGAGCGAGACTCTGTCTCAAAAAAAAAAAAATAAAAGCCCTTTTAGGTTTATGAAAATATTGATCAGAAAGTAGAGTTCCCATATGCCCCTTCATCTGCCCCTCCCCGATTTTCCCTATTATCAACATCTTGCATTCATGTAGATAATTCATTACAACTGATAAGCCAGTATTGATACATTGTTATTAATTAAAGTCCATAGTTTATATTAGGGTTCACTCTTGTGTTGTACACTATGGGTTTTGACAAAATGTATAAGGACATGTATCCACCATAATAGTATCATAAGAATCATTTTACTCCCTCAAAATCCTGTCCTCTCCCTATTCATCCTTCCCTATCTTGCCCTGAACCTCTGGCCACCATTGACCTTGTTACTGTCTCCACAGTTTTTCTTTTTCCAGAATTACCTGGGGTCAGGAGTTCAAGACCAGCCTGGCCAACATGGTGAAACCCCATCTCCACTAATAATACAAAAACATTATGAGCCATGGTGGTGCATGTCTGTAATCCCAGCTACTTGGGAGGCTGAGACAGGAGAATCGCTTGAACCCGGGAGGTGGAGGTTGCAGTGAGCCAAGATTGTGCCATTGCACATCTAGCCAAAACAGATCTCAGAAAAAAAGTATGCACATGGTTTATTTGTGGAAAAAAAAAAAAAAAAAAAAAAAACGAGCATGGAAAATATGCTGAATTTGAGCATTTAATTTAGGAAGCTAGAAAAAGAATAACGTAAAAAAATGTTTTAAGTAGATTTCAGCCCAGTAGCAATAAGCATACCTAGCACTCAGATATTGGTGTCCAGATATTGGTGTGCAGTACCACTGTTCAATAAAAGGAACCAGAGCTACTTGGAGAAATGGCTGATTCTAGTACTAGGACAGGAAATATACAAGATGAGCCTAGAACGTCTTGTAGTGCCAGACAATAAGGAAGTTCTACAAACACACAAACCCTTTGGCTATGCCAGAGGGACACAGAGGTCAACTGAGTTTCCAATGGCCAAAGCTGCAACAATTTGAGCAAGAAAATTAAGTATTGCCCGGCGCGGTGGCTGATGCCTGTAATCCCAGCACTTTGGGAGGCCAAGGTGGGCAGATCATGAGGTCAGGAGATCGAGACCATCCTGGCTAACATGGTGAAACCCTGTCTGTACTAAAAATACAAAAAAATTAGCCGGGCATGGTGGCAGGCACCTGTAGTCCCAGCTCCTCAGGAGGCTGAGGCAGGAGAATGGCGTGAACCCATGAGGCGGAGCTTGCAGTGAGCCGAGACCATGCCACTGCACTCCAGCCTGGGTGACAGAGCAAGACTCCGTCTCAAAAAAAAAAAAAAAAAAATAAGTATTACAACCCAAAGAAAAAAGAAATATCCATGAGTCCATACTAAGATGAATGCATGAATGAATGCATGAATGATCAGGTGCGGCAGTGACTCACGCTTGTAATCCCAGCACTTTGAGAGGCCGAGGTGGGTGGATCACCTGAGGTCAGGAGGTTGAGACCAGCCTGGCCAACATGGTGAAACACCGTCTCTGCTAAAAATACAAAATTAGCCGGGTGTGGTGGCACACGCCTATAGTTCCAGCTACTCGGGAGGCTGAGACAGAAGAATCACTTGAACCCAGAAGGAGGAGGCTGCAGTGAACCTAGATCATGACACAGCACTCCAGCCTGGGTGAGAAGTCCCAACCTGAGGTCGGGAGTTCGAGACCAGCCTCACCAACATGGAGAAGCCCCGTCTCTACTAAAAATACAAAATTAGCTGGGTGTGGTGGCACATGCCTGTAATCCCAGCTACTCGGGAGGCTGAGGCAGGAGAATCACTTGAACCTGGCAGCCAGAGGTTGTGGTGAGCCAAGATCACGCCATTGCACTCCAGCCTGGGTGACTAAGCGAGACTCCATCTCAAAAAAAAAAAAAAAGAATAAAAATGTGAAGTGCTTTCCAAAGACACAAAATCTTGTAATGGCCCAATGGGTTCACTTTGCCCTTTGCCTAGACAGAGCTGAGTTATCAAGACAGGGAATTGCAATAGAGAAAGAGCACACGCAGAGCCAGCTGTGCAGGAGACTGGAGTTTTATTGGTACTCAAATCAGTCTCCCAGAGCATTCAAGGATTGAAGTGTTTAAGGGTTACTTGGTGTGCCAGGGGCAGCCAGGTGACTCAGGAGTGCTGACTGGTCCGGTGGGAGATTAAGTCATAGGGAGTGCAAGCTGTTGTCTTGCACTGAGTCAGTTCCTGGATGGGGGCCACAAGATCAGATGAGCCAGTTTATCAATTTGGGCGGTGCCAGGTGATCCATCAAGTGCAGGGTCTGTAAGAGAAAGTGCTCCTAACCGAAATTAGCCGGGAAGCCTCTCAGGTTTTAAGTAAAGAAAACCTGTCTTTGACTACAAAGCCACGTTTCATGTTTCTTTCTTCTTTCTTTAACTCTTACAGGCATGACTATGGTCAGTGAGCCAATTCTAGTCCATTGCCTGTTTTTGTGCAGAGAGCAAGCTAAGAATAGATTTGCATTTTGAAATGGTTGAAAAAAATCAAAATAAGACTATTTTGTGATATGTAGAAATCATATGAAATCCAGATTTCAGGGCCCATACATAGTTTTATTGGAACAGTCACACTCGTTTATTGATTGGCTGTGGCTGCTTTCATTCTACAAAGGCAGAGGTGAACAGCTGGGACACAGATGGCCTGAGAAGCCTAAAATATTCACTATCTGGCCCTTTACAGAACAAGTTTGCAGACTTCCAGCTTAATGTGTCAAAGATTTTTACAAAGTCCAATTACACAAAGCCACCACTAGTGGGAGGATAAATTGGTGCATCCTCTTCTGAAGGCAATCACAATTTTAAATGCTGAGATGCTCTGACTCAGCATTTAGGAATGTAACCTACAGATTCCTTTGCACATGTTCACGGGGATTTCCATGAGGATATTTCTTGGTACACCATCCTTTGTAATATCAAAGGCCTCAGGGGATCTGCCCACCTCAGCCTCCCAAAGTGTTGGGATTACAAGCATGAGCCACTGCTCCCGGCTATCAAAGGCATTAAACAAGACATATTTCTATCAGTAGGGGAATAGTAAACTAAATAGTAATCATCCGTACAACTTAAAAGCCATTAAAAAGAATTAGATCTTGGCCTGGTGCGGTGGCTCATGCCTGTAATTCCAGCACTTTGGGAGGCAAGACAGGTGGATCACCTGAGGTCAGTTCAAGACCAGCCTGGCCAACATGGTGAAACCCCATCTCTACTAAAAATACAAAAAATTAGCTGGGTGTGGTGGTGCACACCTGAAATCCCAGCTACTCAGGAGGGTAAGGCAGGAGAATCGCTTGAACCTGGGAGGTGGAGGTTGCAATGAGCTGAGATCGCACCATTGCACCCCAGCTTGGGCAACAAGAGCCATACTCCATCTCAAAAAAAAAAAAAAAAAAAAAAAAAAGAATTAGATCTCTAAGGAAAGGGTTGAACCCAGTTATGCTACATAGTTTCATGCCTTTGAGGCACTGTATATATTGCTCGCTCTGAGACATTTGCCCCGTCCTTACCTATGAATTTCTCAGACAACTCACAAAAGGAGTTCATGTCAACTGATTCATGCATCAACTGACAAGACTCAGCTTAACTGTTGGTTCCTTTGTGAAGCCTACCTTGACTCCCTCAACAGAAATGCCCACTCCCCTCCTTGTGCCCCCACAGTAATATGGATCTACCTCCATCATACACTTATTTCTATACTGCCTTTGTTTAGATGTCCACCTCCTCCACCAGACTCCAGAAGGGCAAGCACCATGGCTTGTTCTTTGCACTGCTAGGACCCAGCACAACCCTTAGGCAGTAAATACTCAGGGATCTTTGCAGAGAAGCAGGGATGAGGGCACTTGGCAAGGGCTATGAAGATCTCCTGCCTCTCATCTGTGGGCAGCCTTAGAATTTTCCAGGCTGATTGCTGGGGATCAAATAGTCACATGGGGATCTACTTGGCACCTAAACTAATTCCCACATTCAGGGAACCTTGTCATTCATGAGGAGCCAGGTCCTCCTCTAGGACTGAAGGTGGCAAAAATGTGTGCCCTTTGGAAACACTCCATGACACATGAAAAAATGGCCAACGTTGAGACTCAAAATCTTAGCTATGGAAGCCTGGGAGGATGATAGCTTTGGATGATCTGTGGCCTTCTGATGCCTCTACCACTGCAACACAAGAGCCCTTAATTGTCCAGAGTCCTATAAAAAAGGATGGAAAACTAGGACCACCATCCAGGGGCTTATGCAAATACATAAAGTGTCTGAATTATACTCTAAACTCAACCAGTATCAGTTAGGGTAAATCAGTAGCAAATATCTTTTTTTTTTTTTTTGAGACAGAGTCTCACCCTGTCGCCCAGGTTGGAGTGCAGTGGCGTGATCTCGGCTCGCTGCAACCACAGCCTCCTGGGTTCAAGCAATTCTCCTGCCTCAGCCTCCTGAATAGCTGGGATTACAGGCATGAGCCACCACACCCAGCTAATTTTTGAATTTTTAGTAGAGACAGGGTTTCACCATGTTGGCCAGGCTGGTCTCAAACTCCTGACCTCAGGTGATCCACCCATCTCGGCCTCCCAAAGTGTTGGCACTACAGGCGTGAGCCACCGCGCCCAGCTCCTTACCTTTTTAAAGAGGGAATGAAAACTAAAACAAAGGGCACCAGATTGAGTTAATTCTTCATGTTGAAACATGAATAAAGTGAACTAAAAACGTACCAGTATCCAGTAAATGTGTCCAATGTAGAGCCCAAACTAGGTGATTCAAGCTCTAGATGGGTCTTCTAGTTTCACAATTATATATGAACTAATTAACAAAAAAAACCACTTTTTTTCTTCTTCTTTTTTTGCTACACAGTCCTAAATCTTAGAAATCCTCAGTGGCCATGCTCATTACCCCAGCACTTTGGGAGGCCAAGGAGAGAGAATCGCATGAGACCAGGAGTTTGATAGCAGCCTGAGCAACAGAGCAAGACCCCATCTCTACAAAAAAATAAAATAAATTAGCGAGGTGGTATGCACCAGTAGTACCAGCTATTCAGGAGGCTGAAGTGGGATGACTGAACCCAAGAGTTTGAGGCTACAGTGAGATATGATTGTACCACTGCCCTCCAGCCTAGGTGACAGAGAAAGACCCTGTCTCTTAAAAAACAAACAAAAAAATCCTCAGAGATCATTTTTGAAACAAGCTTCAATGCAATGTACAATCAAATAACTTTCCTTGGTCCTTAAATTACTCAAAATAGGTAATTTCTAAATATCAACAAAATACTTTCAAGTTTCTATATCTAGCAACATCTCATTCTATGAACTAGACCAGCTCTGGCAATGAAGACACCATAGGAAATATTATTTATAGTAAACTTTATTTTCATTGATATTTCACTTAACATAATTTCAAAGTCAGTCTGTGGTCTAAGATGAGCAAAAGAAAAGATATTCTAAATCTCTCAAGAGATTTTTTTTCACACTGTTCCTCTGAGCAGGGAATGGGGTTTCAGGGTTCTCAATGTCAACACCTAACATTTTACCCTTGAGATTTACCTATAGATACAGAAAGAGATAAAATCAATATACAAGAATCGATCTCTATGATGGTCTCAATAAGCTCATGTTACATGCTCACCACCTCTGTAGGGTTATAATGGTAACAACTGATTTTCCACCCCTCCGCCAAATTTGGTGTCTTTTTTTTTTTAGGTAAAATGTCAGATGCAAAAATGCTGCACTTATTTCTCTTAATACATTGAAAATAGTGGAAGATGCAGATTTTTAATCCTTCATGAGTCCAAGCTGGAACATGACTTCTGCTAATCAGATGTCATCAACATACGAACTCCAACTTTGGCGGCCATCAGCAAACTGTTTAAAACAAGTAAGATAGAAAACATCAGGTAAAGGATAGAACAGGCAACTATGTTTTTAAGGAACTAAACTCTGCAGGTTCCTCACAACTGTGTGGGGGAGGAGGTACTAAGGCAAGAGTGGTCAGAGGTAAAATTTCCATCCCTGGGGGAACCAGAGAAAAAGCAAGCCAAGGGACAGTTTCACTGAGGTCTTAAAATAGCACACATGAGCTAGATCCTAATCCAACTGCCAGTAATTTGAAGAGATGAAGAAATGGAGGCAAGAGAAAGCAAGGCCTCCCCACCATCACAGATCTGATTTATGGTAGACTCCAGCCTCTCAGTTTACTGTTCTAGACCTTGCTCCATACTGACTCTTTTGCTTCAGGTATAAAATATTATACTGGCAGCATCACGACTATGATCAGAGTAGAGTATGTAATCTTTCTTGAAAACAGGATTTTAAAAATTCCCCTGCCTTCAGGATGTCTTTATCATACTTAACAAGTGAACTTTTTTTTTTTTTTGAGACAGACTCTCACTCATTGTTGCCCAGGCTGCAGTGCAGCAGCACGATTTCAACTTACTGCAACCTCCGCCTCCCCAGTTCAAGCAAGTCTCCTGCCTCGACCTCCCGAGTAGCTGGGATTACAGGCGTGCACCACCGCACCCACCTAATTTTTGTATTTTTCATAGAGAGGAGTTTCACCATGTTGGCCAGGCTGGTCTCAAACTCCTGACCTCAAGTGATATGCCCGCCATGGCCTCCCACTGTGCTTGGATTACAGGTGTGAGCCACCGTGCCTGGCCTACAACTACATTTTTTAAAAACCACAATTTGGTTTAGGTATTATAATCAAAATTAGAAAACAGGATTCAATCAAAATTTCCTTTTAGCAAAATTTTCTACAAAAGACACCTACACACCTAAGAAATATGGGACCCCCACACATCCTCCGCAAGTCACACAAAAGGCTGCAGTCATAGCTTTGCAATAAAACTTCTGCCACCATATAGGAAGGAGCTAGGACCAGAGAACAAAGCCATCTCCACAGTGAATGGATATACTCATGTCATTTGACATTAAATCAACTATTGTTTTTGAAGCATCTCCTATTAGTGTATAAGTCAAACGTCAGTTGATGCATAGCATCAGATACTCTGAAACAAGTAAGGTTTTGAATGCATAAAGTATTCTGGGCAATAAACTGAACTCTACATGGTAAAGAAGAGTAATAGAATGAAAGTACCTGGCACCTGCAATTAAACCTACAGGCATGAATTTTCCATAGTAGTAGGATCTCATTCCCATAACACCAACAAAAGTAACAGATGTAGCGGCTGAAAAAGATACAAAGAAGGGTCAAAACTCATTAGTCTTCTACGCAGGGGAATCAGAAGTAGACCAAGCCCCACCAATCTCTCAAGGCTCACGCCTCATCCTATGCTTATTCCTCCTTCCCCAAGTAGGGGAGATTACTAGCTGCCCACATCCTATGGGTCCAAATACCAATACTGGCCAAATAGGGCCCTTCACAGCCTGGGCCCTACCTGCCCTTCCAGCCTCATCTCTTACCACTTGTCTTCTGCAAAACCCACACTTTAGCCATCAATGTGTTAGTTTTCTCCAAAATGCTGTTGTTTCTCATGCCCTGCAGATGCTATCGCCCTGCAGACGCTATTTCCTCTACCCTGCATGCAATTCCCACTGGGTATCTGTCAAAGCACCTACTACATGTCAAGCGCTGTGCTAGGAGCTGGAGAATACAAAAGTAATCGTAACTGTCTTTGCCCTTTTACAATGCTTCAGGTCTGATGGGACAAGACTTTAAACAATCACACAAAGAAAAACAAGGTACAATGTGTGCTTCAGGTATAATTGATGCTACACAAAAAAGCTCAACAGGGGGATCAACCTATTCAGGGAGATCATGCTAGGCTTTTAGCCAAGGAAGTGAAGACTGACTGAGATCTGAAATTACAGCAGGCGTTAATAAGCTGAAGGATGGGAATGCCCTTTCCAGGCAGAGGGGACAGTATATGCAGAGGCCCTGTGGTGACAGGGAGCATGGCACATTCACCCTAAAAGGGCAGCGTGGCACAGAAGTCAAGATGCAGTTTGTGAGTAAGAGGCGCCAGACCACATAGAGCCTTGAAGGCCATACTAAGGATTGGGTTTTCATCATAAGAGCAATGAGAAGCTATTAAAGGATACTAAGCAGAGGGATGCATAAAAAGAGTTGCATTATTATTATTATTTTTTGAGACAGAGTCTCACTCTGCAACACACGCTGGAGTGCAGTGGCATGATCTCAGCTCACTACAACCTCTACCTCCCAGGTTCAAGCAATGCTGAAGCCTTTTTTAATTTTAGTGGAGACCGGGTTTCACCATGTTGCCCAGGGTGGTCTCCAACTCCTGAGCTCGGCAATCCGCCTGCCTTGGCCTCCCAAAGTGCTAGGACTACAGGCAGGAGCCACCGCAACCGGCCCAGAGTTGCATTTTGAAAGCGTAATTCTAGCTATACTATAGAGAACAAACTTCAGGGAAACTAGAGGGTACATGGGGATACCAGCTAAGGAACGTCCTTGGGAATGCAGGTAAGAAAGAGGGGATAACTGGGACTAGGACGATGGCTGTGCAGATGAAAAAGAGGACAACTCAGGATAAGGGCTAGAGGTAGTGTCGACAAGACCTGCTGATGAATTAGTCAGAAAGGGGGTGGTAGAAAGGAAAGAGAGCAATCAAGAACCGAATGGATGGAGAACAGAAGACAGGGGGAGTGTGTGGCCATGAGGTTAGGTCCGGGCAGATTCCTGGAGACATCTGAAGGAAAGTGGACAGATGAATACATGAGAGTCCAGCCTGGAGGAGAGAGAAATTTGTGTCATTTGTGTATCGGTGGAAATTAAAGGCATAGGCTTCAATGAAACTGTCAAGTGAGTAGACAAGAAGAGCCTGAAGAACTTCAATATCTAGTGGCCAAAAAGGAAAATAGGTTGCCAAAAGAGAATGAGAGGATAAAAAGGGAAACCAGGAGAATGGAAAATGATTGGTCAACCGTGCTGAGAACTGCTAAATGGCCAAGTAAAATGAGGACTGAAAAATGTACATTGGATTTTGTACAAACACAGGTCACTGGCAGCCTCAGGGAGAGCTATTCCACAAACACAGGGACAGAAACAGAGACTGAAATGGGCTGATCATGTGTGATGGGAGAGGAGGCATAAATGATCTTTATTTTTTGAAACGGAGTTTCGCTCTTGTTGCCCAGGCTGGAGTGCAGTGGCGTCATCTCGGCTCACCGCGACCTCCACTTCCCGGGTTCAAGCGATTCTCCTGCCTCAACCTCCTGAGTGGCTGGGATTACAGGTGACAGCCACCAAGCCCGGCTAATTTTGTATTTTTAGTAGAGATGGGGCTTTCTCCAAGTTGGTCAGACTGGTCTCCAACTCCCGACCTCAGGTGAGCCGCCTGCCTCGGTCTCCCAAAGTGCTGGGATTATACGAGTGAGCCACCGCGCCCAGCTGCATAAATGATCTTTAAGAAGTTTGTGGTCTACCGCCATACCACCCTGAATGTGCTAGATCTTGTCTGATCCCAGAAGCAAAGCAGGGTCGGTCCGGTCCTGCATGGTACTTGGATGGGAGACTACCACCCCACCTTCGGGGAAACACCAGGTGCTGTAGGCTTTTGGCCTCCCACTCCCTCCCTCTTTCCCTCTTGGCTGGGCGTGCTGCCTCATGGCTGTAATCCCAGCACTTCGGGAGTCCAAGGTGGGCAGATCACCTGAGGTCAGGCGTTCCAAACCAGCCCAGACAACATGGCAAAAACCCTGCACCTGCTAAAAATGCAAACGTTAGCCTGACATGGTGGGAGACACCTGTAATCCCAACTACCTAGAAGGCTGAGGCAGGAGAACCACTTGAATCCAAGAGGCGGAGGTTGCAGTGAGCCAAGACCGCGCCACTGCACTCTAGCCTGGGCAACACAGTGAGACTCCGTCTCAAAAAAAAAAAAAAAAAAAAAAGGTAGTTTATGAAGGGGAAGGAGACAAGCACATCTGAATATCAATGCGGGGATCCACCTAAAAGGAGGAATACAAATACAAGACAGGATCCTGGCCAGTGTAAAGGTCTGGAGACGGTCAGGGAGAAGACACCCAAAGCCCAGAGGAAGACACTGGTGTTGGAAAGGAGGGAAACAGGACGAGGGGAGGCTTGGAGATTAAAGGCTCCAGGAGTCCCCACCTGATGGCTGCTGTTTTTTCTCTACAATAGGTGTGAGGTCATTTGCTGAGTGGAGTAGGATCAGAGAAAGGGAAAATGCAGGCTCAAGTCATTCTGGAGCATGAGGGAGGGAGCTGTTAGGCAGAGCTGGGACCTGGACACACCTCCTTCCCCAGCACACCCCATTAGCCATCACGGACCTCCCTTCCCCACCCCAGCTGATATGTACAGATCACACGGCTTCTCCCTCCCACATGGCACTCATTCTCACACGGGGTTTGTAGAGACCGCAAGGAACCCACACTCATAGCAGTGTCTGACACATGGGTGGAGCTCCACAGAAATGTACTGAAAACCACTCTGATGAGGACTCTTATGTCCTCCACACCACTCACTGTCCTCACTGTCCGTGCTGCTCACAGGGTACCTTTCCAGTCCTGCTTCTATGCTCATGTCTTACTTCCCCAGTGAAGTCAGTTGAAAGCTCCTTGAAAGCATGGTCTACGTCTTATATATTTAGTTAGCTGACTGCTAAAGAGGTGATTTTCAAATGTGAAAAACGTAACGCAGCTGCAAACCTAACCCAGATACGTGATATTTTAGTGATACTGAGGCCAATGGTCTTCAGCGGAAAACCTCAACGGTTGACACATATTTGTCTTATACAAGTTTAATGCTGACTTTACTGGGTAAATATGGGTAATACAAGTTTGATACTAATTCTACTGGGTAAACACTGAAAATAAGGCCCACAGAGGATGGATGACTTTCTGAGAGTCACACAATTCACAAGGTATGGAAATCTTTCCATATTATCTACATAAACAATAAACAGGAACCAGGACAATTCCCACCACCCTTCTCCTATTTTAAAACTTTGAGGACTTGGACTTGGAGAAGCAGTGAAACTGTCGTAAATTAAGTGGGAAGAACTCGCTCCATCCCACCAAACCAGGGTCTTTTGGAAAAGAATATTCCAGATACATGATTGCCCTAAGGAGACGCTGAAGCAGACATACCTAGGAAACCCCAAACGTTCCTTGGATCCTGATACAGCTGGTAAGCACCCAGGCCGGCTAGACTGCCGAAGAGCAGCCCTGCAGCCAGGGACGGCACGCTGCCTAGAAGGAAGCAAACGCAGCTTGCATTGTAATGTCAGGCACTTATTTCACTAACGGAATCCACCAGACCTCCTGCCCTACAAAGGACAGCACAAAGAACTCTCAACACAGCTCACAGCCAAGGTGGACTCAAGCAGGAAGGCGTTAAGGAGAGTGTGCTATCTTCTCAGAGAAGTCAGGGTCTTCCCACCCCATTTTTCTCTCCTCTAATAGGCAGGGCACTTCCATCTAAGGAAAGGAAAGAAGGCCATCTTCCCTCCTTAGACAGAACTATGACTAGGCCTTCTTTTGTAATGCCTAACCTTGTTTTTACTAACCCTGTTTTTAGACTCTCCCTTTCCTTTAATCACCTAGCCTTGTTTCCACCTGAATTGACTCTTCCTTAGCTAAGAGAGCCAGACAGACTCCATCTTGGCTCTTTCACTGGCAGCCCCGTCCTCAAGGACTTAACTTGTGCAAGCTGACTCCCAGCACATCCAAGAATGCAATTAACTGATAAGATACTGTGGCGAGCTATATCCGCAGTTCCCAGGAATTCGTCCGATTGATAATGCCCAAAGCCCCGCGTCCATCACCTTGTAATAGTCTTAAAGCCCCTGCACCTGGAACTGTTTACTTTCCTGTAACCATTTATCCTTTTAACTTTTTTGCCTACTTTACTTCAGTAAAATTGTTTTAACTAGACCCCCCCCCCACCCCATTCTAAACCAAAGTATAAAAGAAAATCTAGCCCCTTCTTCAAGGCCGAGAGAACTTTGAGTGTTAGCCGTCTTTTAGGCCCCAGCTAAATAAACAGACTCTTAATTCGTCTCAAAGTGTGGCGTTTTCTCTAACTCGCTCAAGTACAACACTTTCTAATCAGGCCTCATCAACCATGAAGGGCTGGAATTGTGTACAGGCAGGACCTCCAGCAAATCACAAAAGCAGAAGGAAATAGGGCCAGGCAGTTAAAAAAAAAATAGAAGATCAGGAGAATAAGAAGTCTGGTGCAGGGATTGGGGTGGGAATGCAGGCAAGGACTAGGGGGCAAAAACAAGCACAGCCACTGACACACCCCTGCCTGGCCTAATGAGGAAACTTCAAAATACCAGTCTGTGTAGGCCAGAGGTTGACTCCTACTTAAGCCCAGAGATGGCACTTGGGGGTCATGGCTGATGAATGGCAGTCAATGATAATAACAAACTACAACCACCCCTGCCTACCTTTAGATAAAGAGGCAAAAATAAGTAATTCCACAAGAGGCCTGGCTCAGCTTCACCAGATAAGCAAAAGGCAAGGGCAGGAGCTGCAAGACTGACAAGGAAGCCTGCACTCCAGCTTGGGGACCTACAGCAAAGCTGAGTCAAACGAGATTGCTTCTCAGGGACACAGGCACTCACATTTCACTGGAACAACGTGAAGATGTTAAGAGGCTAAGTAACAACAAAACCCTACCTGTTTTTACATAGCCAACGATCCCACCAGAAACAACCAGTGCTGTGTAGCCAAAGCCAAACCAATGCAAAGGCACTCTGAAAACACAAGAGAAGTCAGTGAGAAGTCAGTGCTAACCTGGATTTAAAAACAAACCATATTGTCATAGGATGGGGCTAAAAGGTAATCATTCCCCACAGGTCCTATGTGCCCACAGGTACTATCACTGAAAATAAGCACCACAGAGGTTGGATGACTTTCTGAGAGTCACACAACTAAGCAAAGCTAGAGCTGGGACTCAAACCCAAGTTTCTGGCCCACAGGTCCAGTGATCCTCCCATCCCGCACGCCATCCCAGGCAGTCTACTCTTAGGGTTCTTTTCAGCTGAGGAAAGGAACTCTGGTTTCCAGAAGCTCCTGGCTACTCTCTAACCATTTACTGTCTACTCACAATGGGAAGAGGGGCTTCTCCATTCTTCTCTTCTCAGTCCAGAAAGGAGACTACCCCAGGCCTGCATCTGGGGAAAACAAGCCGGATCAGCAGTGGTTAAAAGCACAGCTCCCCAGCAGTCAGAAAGAAGTGTGTCCAACCTGCAGGCTATGCAACCTAAGTCTCAGTATCCTTCACTGTACCATGAGGATAACACTGGTACCAATTTCCTGGGGGTGTTGTGAGCATTCAATGGATGTCACATGTAAAGGTGCTTAGCACCTAGTAAACCCTGAACAGATGCCGATCATTTCACATAGGTCCACAGGAAACTCAGCAAGATCCACTGACCAGCTCTATAATCAGGGAATGTGTTAGTCATTTCATTAAGCACTCACATTATCACTAAATCGGAAAGCAAATACTCCCGTGCCCTTAATCCAACTACTTTAATGTCTCTTTTGAGGGGTGGTAGGGATGTTGCTTTTCTTCACTGATGCAACAGCCAATTTCAATACTCAATTTTTTTTTTTAGAAACTTCTGCATCCAACTCACAGTTCTCGTTAGGAGGGCAGAAGGGGAGGGTAAAATACACGGAAACTCAAGTCAGAATCACATGTGACATTGCACCCTTGGAAAAACAGCTCCTATTTTCTTACAGAAAAGTATTCTGTATGCAGTGAACCTAACAAGATGGAAAGCAATGCATACGCCGTTTATTCTGTTTAAAGAATTAGGCCAGGCAAAGTGGCTCACGCCTGTAATCCCAGTACTTTGGGAGGCCCAGGCAGGCGGATTACCTGAGGTTAGGAGTTCGAGAACAGCTTGGTCAACATGGTGAAACCCATATTCTATTAAAACACACACACACACACACAAATCGGGCATGATGGCATGCACCTGTAATCCCAGCTACTTGGGAGGCTGAGGTGGGAGGATGGCTTGAGCCCAGGAGGCAGAGGCTGCAATAAGACATATTCAGGCTACTGCACTCCAGGCTGGGCGACACAGCGAGAACCCCTCCCCACCCCCCAAAAAAAGAAAGAATTAATTTCCCATAAAACGGGGAAGGGCAGCGGGCTTGGGATCTTGCCCACAGTTCTTAACTCGAGGCGGCACTGAGTAAGGGAGGCTTTTAAAGAGCTGGAGCAACAAAACCACCAGGAAACGAGGCAACACTATGCTACAAGGGTAAGCCTTTGCCTCAGGAGCTCAGGTGCTCCGAGCATCCACAGCCTCTTTTAAGACAAGCAGAAAATACCCAAGGAGAAAAGCACCGACCACACGGCATAAAGGCCCGCTGAATCGGGGGGACGAAAAGCAGACGGCCGTGAAACTCCTAAATAATCCCTAAAAGTTAAAAGTGGCAGAAAATAAAAACAATACTCTCCAAAGACCTGCACCGACCTGCCGAAGGCCCGCGGAGTCCACTACGGAGCGCAAGCCGCGGGACACAGCAGCCAGGTCTCTCCGGAAACGCGATTGCGTGCGCGCTGCGCCCCGGGGCCGCGGCAGGGCGGGGAGAAAGGCGGGACGTCGTGGCGCGTGCGCAGTGTCCTTGGAGAGAGGTGAGCGGAGAATGGGGACAGTGGGGGCGGGGCTTGAGCCGCGGATTACCAGCACGCGCCCTGCATCCCGGGGGCGGGGAGTGAGGCGGGGCATCGCGGCTAGCGCCGTTGGCGGGGAACCGGGCGGGGAATCTCTGTGCTTCCTCAGTCCCCAGGCCCAGCACCTGCAGGGCCGACCAGCTCCAGTCCCAGGTCCAATCCTGAGTGGCCAAAAGCCGGAAACCCGGAGTTGGAATTGGATCTTGCACAAGCTGGACCACGTAAGCTGGGCCAGGCCAGAGGTGGAGGCCACCGCTGCGGGAGGAGGGCATCTGATGATTTTGAAGGACCCCATTAATAGAGGGTATAAACCAGGTGCGGGCCATCAGGGAGGATTGTCACTCTGGCCCGATCTTGTTTGTTTACACCAGGAAGGGCCTGCCTTCCACCTGCAAGAAAATATGGCAGCTGCAGAATAATGTGGCGCAATGCCAAATATCCGTTTGTTTTAGGGAGTGAGGCTACTTGAGAAGCATCTTAAATGGGGAGAGAGAGCAAGTTAAATCTGATTTCCACGCAGCTCTGTGGATTCCGAATGTCCACAGTATGATGTTATCTCCATTCCCACTTCCGAGCCGCTCCTCTTCTGTGTTTCCTGCACCACCATTCGCTCAGTTGCTCTACACTAAAATTTGCTGTCATCGTTGACTTCTCCCTCTCCTTCATCCCCTACAAGTATCAACATAGACAACTCCGATCAATATAATCATCAGTGAATAAAGCAAATTGCAGCGCATATTCTTAAAGACAAACTTTCCACTTGCAGCAGCACCTACCTTCCAGATAGCTAAATTGAAGCCCGTGTTTATCATAGCTGCTTCTAACCAGCCAGAGCTGATAATAACTAAGAACTTGCAGGAATTGCAGTATGCCAGACCTTCAATTTAATTGAAGACTTTCCTGAACAATTAATGAGACTTGTCTTAACCAGCAGGGAATGGCTTTAGGGACTCATTCTTCCCTATGCAGGTGCAAGCCTCAAACCTTAATTAGGATCATCCACCATGATCCTCGAGCCCTTCCCCACCTTATACTTGAAGAGGCTGAACCTCAGAGAATTAAATTACCTACAGTCCTGGTCACTGGTAGAGCTATTATTTAAAGTAAGGTCTAATGTCAAAGCCTGCGTCCTTAATTCTACCATATGCTGCTTCTTGCAGTGTCGTTCCTCAACCAGAACACATAGCTCTTCTGTGTAGGTAAAGTCCATCAAAACATGTCATAAAATAAATTAAAGAAATTGGTTTCTGCTCTATTTCAATTAGTACCAGAGTAAAACAATCAATGATTTGTGTTTGGGAATATTTCTAGTTGGCATTAACGTTGTTAGGAGATAGCTTAGCTCTTCACTGGGGGCCCACTGAATTATCGGAACCCTGGAACACAAATGTGTCAAAAGGGTGTAATCAAAATTATGTCAGGGAATGTTAAGTTTCTAGTCTTTGGTCACTGAGGCCTATCAGTAGGTTTGGGTGTTTTGTTTTGTTTTTCCCACAAAGAGGCTTTGAGTAAGAATTGTGTCTGGTAGACAAACACAGGTACACACACAGGTGTGTACTCACACAGCAAGAGCAGTAGAGATCATCTCCCACAACACAAGAGCTCATGAAGAAAGGGAATTGAGCTTCAATGTAAGCATTAGTTTAGCATTTTTGGAGCCTGAATGTGTTGACTTTACAAATTAAGAAGTCCCTGAACAAAAACGTCAAAAACAAATCCCAAGTTGCAGTCTGCCCAGGTAATTCATGTCTATCAAGTGTCTACAATACCAATTTCTACATCTTTGGGAGTATTTTATAGGTTTGTTTGAAGAGCAAGGTCAATAACTCTTTCCCCAAGAAATAAATGAAATCATAAAAAAAAAACCGCCTATTTTCTTAACCTAACCTATCTGCCATCTACTTCTGGATCATATTCATTGGAGCCATAAAAATATTAGCAGAAGCATATGCAGTTCTTATTATCTGCCACTGTTGGAAGCGCTTTACATATGTTAACTAACTTACACTTCATACCAACTCTGTGCAGTGACGACTATGATTATCTCCTGCTTTACACATGGAAGAAATTGAGGCACAGACTACAAGGTCACACAGCAAATGGCAGAGCTGTCCTAACTCTGCATTTGTTTCTTGCAGTGAAGAGTCTTTTTTCTGTCTCTTAGTCTGTTCTCAACACAGTGACCAGAGCACTTGGGTTAGAAGTCTGACTGTGCCATTTCTCTCCCCAAAACCCTCTGGTGGCACCCCTTTTCTCAGGCAGTGCTTTGCAAAGCCCCACACATCCTCCTCCCTGACATCAGCATCTTCTCTTTCCCCCTCACTTGTGTTTCCTTCTTGCCCTCAGCTGCTTCATCTGCCTGGAACGCCTCCCCAGACAATCTCCTGGTTCACGCCCTCTCCTCCTTTCTGTCTTTACGCAAATGTCACTTCTCAGAGAGACCTTCCCTAATCACCTGATTTAAAACTTCAACTCATCTGCATTTCCCCCGACAGCATCTTTCCTTCCATGACAATTCCCTGCTAACCTGCTCTGTAACTGGCTTAATCATCGTAGAGCCTACCTCCCCCTTTTTTGCATGTTTGTTTCATGGGAGTGATGATATTTATGCAGCATTTAGCACAGTGCCTGGCCCATAACCAGTACTCAGTAAACATGTGTTGAATGGACAAGTAGATGTGGAGTGAGAAATGAGAGGGGTGGTCGGCAGACAGGAGAACAAAGGCCACATGTACAGTTTGCCCTGGCTGTACCCTGGCTCTGGTTCTTCCTGCCTTGGCCTCAGCCAGATACACCTGTGTCCTTCTCATGTACTTACCCCCACGTCCTCTGTTGAAGCTTAGGACATCCAGAGTTGCATTTGTTTCTTGCAGTGAAGAGTCTTTTAAAATCTGAAATAGGCTGTGAGCGGTGGCTCACGCCTGTAATCCCATCACTTTGGGAGGCTGAGGCACATGGATCACCTGAGGTCAGGAGTTCGAGACTAGCCTGGCCAACATGGTGAAACGCTGTCTCTACTAACAATACAAAAAAAAAAAAATAGCCGGGTGTGATGGTGCACGCCTGTAATCCCAGCTACTCAGGAGGCTGAGATGGAAGAATCGCTTGAACCTAGGAGGCAGAGGTTGTAGTAAGCCGAGATCACTCTACTGCACTCCAGCCTGGGTGACAGAGGGAGACTCCATTTCCAAAAAAAAGAAAAGAAAAATGAAAAATTGAGTTGACATCATGGGCCCTGTGTCATTCAAAAACTCAACATTTCACTAATCAGTCAAGCTGCCCATGACTGCCCCAGGCCATTGCATTCAATATGTTAATTTATTTACCAAAGCTGTGTCTTTCAGAAGGGTTGTGTTTTTCCTTTTAGCCCTCAGAATCTAGGATAGCACCTGGCACACATGGTGAGCACTCACTTCATGGCTGTCGGATAAACAATGGAGCAAGGAAGGTGGAGATGGATGCTTACACATGGGGAATTGTATCAGGAAGGAGTGTATGTGTGATTAAAACCTGTTCTACATAAATAGAAAAGTTGATCATTCAACACATGGACGGCTAAGACTATATGCAGACTATCCATTCTCAGGAAGAAAAGGGAAGCAATCTACCTGACTTCCCCAAATGGATTCCGTATTTTGATATGAATTGTTATCATGTGGGAAATGCGATGGCCTCCAGGTATACTACCTCAGAGATCAGTGAGCAGAAAAGCTCACAGATCAAATTAAAATGCTTGAATCTCTTAGTTTATTTAAATCAATTTAAAGAGACAGTGAAAAGCAAGAGGAAAGAGATGGGATAAGTAAACGCTGTCAAGAGACGGTGCAAATCTGGTGGAAGATGCCTGCTACCTAAAGCCTACCTCATACAATGTTCAGGGGCCACCATCCCCCACCTGCCCCAACCTCCACCCCTCTCTGTGATATTGACTTTCCTGTGGATCGTGGTGCTGAAGACGACAGGTTTGAGCAAGGAGACTCAAAGAGGCAAGGTGCCCCACGCCAATGACACAAACTTGCTCTGTCCGAGATGCAGGTACAAGCAAGCCTAGCAAAGAGCTGAGCTTTGCCTGTTGGCCTGTGGAGCAACCATGGGTTTTACTGTGTTTCTTGGACAGAGGACACTTGGGGACAGAAGTGAATAGCATGACTATTTCATGCTTATGTATATTTTATGCACTGTATTTAGTGCCTCTTGGACATTTAATGTATCAAATATTTCATGCTCAGGTGTCTCATGTATACTTGGTAGCTAGGAATGTTAGGTATCCTGGACTTTCTATTCCTTTCTGTGTCTAACACATGTTCTACTTACTACTTAACACATCTAATAAAATCTGCCTATGTTTTAAAAACTAAGATTTATCTATACTTAACTTGTACTAAAAGCTTTCCCCTGTATTTCACAAACATATTAATCTTCCTTAAAAGTATTGAATACTCCCAAAAACAAATGTATATTCCAACTTTTTATTTTCAAATGCCACATTAAAAAAACACCCTCTGGCTGGGCGCAGTGGCTCATGTCTGTAATCCCAATATTTTGGGAGGCCAAGGCAAGCAGATCACTTGAGGTCAGGAGTTCGAAACCAGCCTGACCAACATGATGAAACCCAGTCTCTACAAAAAAAATAAGATTAGCTGGGTGTGATGGTGGATGCCTGTAGTCACAGCTACTCAGGAGGCTGAGGCAGGAGGATTGCTTGAGCCCAGGAGTTCAAAGCTGCAGGAAGCTATAATCATGCCACTGCAAAAGGTGACAGAGACCCCGTGTCTTAAAATAGACTTAAGCCAGTTTAAGCCTTTCAGTTAAATGTCCCATGAAGAATTCTGTTTTGAGACTGAGTGTTGCTCTGTCACCCACGCTGGAGTGCAGTGGCGCGATCTTAGCTCACGGAAACCTCTGCCTCCCGGGTTGAGCGATTCTCCTGCTTCAGCCTCCCAAGTAGCTGGGATTACAGGCACATGCCACCATGCCCTACTAATTTTCTTATTTTTACTAGAGACAGGTGTTTCAGCATATTGCCCAGGCTGTTCTCAAACTCCTGACTTCGTGATCCACCTACCTCAGCCTTCCAAAGTACTGGGATTACAGGCGTTAAGCCACAGCTCCCGGCCCCCACCAAGAATTTTAAACAGCTGATACGAATGTGTCCAAATATTGGTTCCTTCCGGTGGGTTCTTGGTCTCGCTGACTTCAGGAATGAAGCCACGGACCCTCACGGTGTTTACAGTTCTTAAAAATAGTGTGTCCACAGTCTGTTCCTTCAGCTGTTTGGATGTGTCTGGAATTTCTTCTTTCCGCTGGGTTCAGTGACCTGCACAGGCCTCAGGAGTGAAGCCACAGACCTTCGCCGTTGACTGTTAACAGCTCTTAAAGGTGGTGCATCCAGAGCTGTTCATTCCTCCCCTGTGGGTTCATGGTCCCGCTGGCTTCAGAAGTGAAGCTGCAGACTTTCGCAGTCAGTGTTATATAGCTCATAAAGGCGGAACGTCCACAGTTGTTCATTCCTCCCTGTGGGCTCATGGTCTTGCTGGCTTCAGGAGTGAAGCTGCAGACCTTTGCAATGAGTGTTACAGCTCTTAAAGATGGCACCTCCAGAGTTGTTCGTTCCTCCCAATGGGCTTGTCATTTACGCTAGTGTCAGGAGTGAACCTGCAGACTTTTACAGTGAGTGTTACAGCTCATAAAGGCAGTGAGGACCCAAACAGTAACCAGCAGTAACAGCAGTAAGATTTATTGCAAAGTGCAAAGGAAGAAAACTGCAACAGCATGGAACAGGACTGATAGGAGAGTTGCCACTGCTGGCTCGGGTGGCCTGCTTTTGGCCCCTTATTTGGCCCCACCCACATCCTGCTGATTGGTCCATTTTACAGAGTGCTGATTGGTCCGTTTTACAGAGTGCTGATTGGTGCGTTTACAATCCTTTAGGTAGACACAAAAGTTCTCCAAGTCCCCACCTGATTAGCTAGACACAGAGTGCTGACTGGTGCGTTTGCAAACCTTTAGCTAAACACAGAGTGCTGATTAGTGTGTTTATAATCCTTTAGCTAGACAGAAAAGTTCTCCAAGTCCCCACCCGACCCAGAAGCCCAGTCGGCTTCACCTCTCAGGAATATCTGCATTATACTCAACTTTGCTGTAATATGCATTCCCTAGGAACTGAGTAGAATTAAATAACATGGAAGCTTCATCAAGTCGCTTTTTTTTTTTTTTTTTTTGAGACAGAGTCTCACTCTTGCCCAGGCTGGAGTGCAGTGGCATCATCTCGGCCCACTGCAACCTCTGCCTCCCGGGTTCAAGTAATTCTCCTGCCTCAGCCTCCCAAGCAGCTGGGATTACAGGCGCCAGCAACCACACCCGGCTCATTTTTTTATCTTTAGTAGACACCGGGTTTCACCGTGTTGACCAGGCTGGTCTTGAATTCCTGACCTCAGGTGATCCACCTCCCTCTGCCCCCCAAAGTGCTGGGATTATAGGTGTGAGCCACCGCACCCAGCCTCAAGTAACTTCATTATCATAAGGTGATCCTACATTGATTCTAGGGAGAATGGCATAAGAGGAATTACATTTGTATCCATTTTTATTCCATCTAAAAATCATATTCAGAAACTTGCTTTTCTGGGATGATAGAGTAGACGTACTTTCCTCTCTCACTAAGTGCAACTAAAAACCCTGGACATCATATATAGATGACACATAAGAAGGCTCTGAAAGGTGGAGAAAAGTCTGACCAGTCAGGGATCTTGGGACTCAGGAATGCCATGGTAAGTTCCCTAAAATTGTTTCCCTTATATATCCCAGACTTAAATGTGAAAACCAACCGGGCATGGTGGCTCATGCCTGTAATCCCAGCTACTTGGGAGGCTGAGGCAGGAGAATGGCTTGAACTCGGGAGGCAGAGGTTGCAGTGAGCCGATATCATGCCACTGCACTCCAGCCTGGGCGACACAGCGAGACAAAGCCTAAAAAAAAAAAAAAAAAAAGGTGAAAACCTAGCAGAATGGCCAGCCAGGCGTGGTGGCTCCTGCCTGTAATCCCAGCACTTTGGGAGGCTGAGGCGGGTGGATCACCTGAGGTCAGGAGTTCAAGACCACCCTGGCCAACATGGTGAAACCCCGTCTCTACTAAAAATACAAAAAATAGCTGGGCGTGGTGGTGGGAGCCTGTAATCCCAGCTATTCAGGAGGCTGAGGCAAGAGAATCACTTGAACCCGGGAGGCAGAGGTTGCAGTAAGCTGAGATCACACCACTGCACAACAAAAGCTAAACTCAGTCTCAAAGGAAAAAAAAAAAGAAAAAAAGAAAACCTAGCAGAATGGACAGGCATGGACCAAATAATAATAATAAAAAAGTGCATGAACAAAAATCCTGCTCTTTCTAGCCAAAGGACCACACAAGGAGCAGCCTAGCAAAACTTTCAGGCAGTGACCACTCTGCTGCAGCCAAACCACACATCAAACTGAAGCCCCACTCTGACCCATGCTCACAGGACAGTAAGTAGGGAGCTGGTTGTTTCATTCCCAGTGGCTGGTATCAAGTCCCCTCCCCAATGTGGAGCCAATAGAGACCACAAGGAAAGCCACAGCTCCCAGACCACCTGTCACTAATAAGCCCCCACTCTTTGGGTGTCACTGGAGGTCAAGCAGAGAACCTCATGTGTCACCAAAAGTCACCTACTTCCATCTGGCAGTAGCATCCTTCTTCCCTTCCCATAGCAGTGTCAGAGAAAATCAGTTAAAACAAAAGGTTTAAATAAGAGCCAGAGGCCGGAGCTCACGCCTGTAATCCCAGCACTTTGGGACGGCGAGGCAGGCGGATCACTTGAGGTCGGTTCGAAACGAGCCTGGTAAACATGGTGAAACCTCGTCTTTACTAAAAATACAAAAATTAGGCGTGGTGGTGTGCGCCTGTAATTCCGGTTACTCGGGAGGCTGAGGCACGAAAATCGCTTGAACCCAGGAGGCGGAGGTTGCAGTGTGCCGAGATCACACCGCTGCACTCCAAACTGGGAGACAAATAGAGACTCTTTTTATTTTTATTTTTATTTTTTATTTTTGAGACGGAGTCTCGCTCTGTCGCCCAGGCTGGAGTGCAGTGGCACGATCTTGGCTCACTGCAAGCTCCGCCTCCCAGGTTCACGCCATTCTCTCGCCTCAGCCTCTGGAGTAGCTGGGACTACAGGCGCCCGCCACCACGCCTGGCTAATTTTTTGTATTTTTAGTAGAGACGGGGTTTCACTGTGTTAGCCAGGATGGTCTTGATCTCCTGATCTCGTGATCTGCTTGCCTCAGCCTCACAAAGTGCTGGGATTACAGGCGTGAGCCACCGCGCCCGGCCGAGACTCTGTCTTAAAAAATAAATAAGAGCCAGTGTCTCATAACATAACACAAATGTGTCCAGAATTCAATAGAAATCACTCAATATATAGTCATGTGCCACATTAACTATGTTTTTGGTCAATGAGAGACCACGTTTATGATGCGAATACTGTAAGATTATAAAACCATATTTTTACTATCCATTTTCTGTGCTTAATTATGTTTAGATATTCAAATACTTACCATTGGCCGGGCGCGGTGGCTCATGCCTGTAATCCCAGCACTTTGGGAGGCTGAGGTGGGCAGATTACCTGAGGTCAGGAGCTCAAGACCAGCCTGGCCAACATGGTGAAACCCCGTCTCTACTAAATATACAAAAATTAGCCAGGCATGGTGGCAGGTGCCTGTAATCTCAGCTACTTGGGAGGCTGAGGCACGAGAATCACTTGAACCTGAGAGATGGAGGTTGCAGTGAGCCGAGATCATGCCATTGCACCCCAGTCTGGGCAACAGAGCAAGACTCTGACTCAAAACAAACAAACAAACAAACAAAAAAAACACCCAGTAGATTTGATCAATGTATTCAGCAAAGACTTACTAAATTCCCTACTGTGTTCTAAGTATATATGGTAGTAACAAAAGTGTTGTTTTTCCTGCCTTTATACAACATTTATTCTAGAGGCAGATATTCAATAAACACACAAAAACATGTATGTTTGCAAATTGTGACGAGTGCTATTAAGAAAAAGAACAGGATGTTATAAGAGCTAAAAGAGAAATGTAAGTGTAGTCAGGGACCATTGAGTAGTTTTAAGTCTAGAAGTCTATACTTGAGCTATGCCTCTGCCTGCTGGGTAAAGAATGACTTATAGGGCCATAGCATGAAAAGAAGTATTCCTTGCAGAAGATTATTTAAATAACCAGGTAAAAGATAGAAAGGGTTGGACTTGGACATTAGCAATATTATGGGAGAGAATGGATTATGGCTATTGATAGAAAGCTATTCGTTTTCAGTGTTGATCTTGTTTCTTGCTGCTTTAAAGATCTCTGTTAGTTCCAATCGGTTTTTAGTTGCTTCTCGTGGATTTTCCAGATAGATAATTATCAGCTGTTAAAAATGTTTAAGTTATTTTCTACTATTAATTTATACCTCTCAAATTATCTTTTTTATTGCTTTGTCTAATTTCTCTAGAACTATGTTGAATGTTGCCAGTGATAGTAAACATCCTATTATTTCTAACTTTAACATAAAGCCATAGAATCAGATAAAAAGTAGCTCATAAAAACCGAAAGCAAGTAATATGCTTGAGTGAGGTGACAGAAGCAGCAATATTAACGTCAGGAATTCATTTTGTTCAGACTGATATCTAGTTAGAAAATACATGAAAAAGTACCCATTCATAATAACAAAACTATAAAATACTATAAAATACAAAAAATTCAAAATACCACAAAACTATAAAATAATCCACGATCTTACTAAAAGTGTAAAGTACTATGTGAATAAAGCTCTAAAATATTGTTTTAGGACATTTTTTAAAAAACCTGAACTTGCCGGGTGTGGTGGCTCATGCCTGTAATCCATTTGCCAGCTGAGGTGGGTAGATCACCTGAGGTCAGGAGTTCAAGACCAGCCTGGCCAACATGGCGAAATGCTGCCTCTACTAAAAACACAAAAATTAGTCAGGTGTGGTGGCAGGCTCCTGTAATCCCAGCTATTTGGGAGGCTGAGGCAGGACAATTGCTTGAACCTGGGAGGCAGAAGTTGCAGTGAGCTGAGATCATGCCACTGCACTCTAGCCTGGGCGACAGAGCGAGACACTGTCTCAAAAAAAAAAAAAAAAGTCTGGGTGCAGTGGCTCACACCTGTAATCGCAGCACTTTGGGAGGCTGAGGCAGGTGGATCACCTGAGGTTGGGAGTTTAAGACCAGCCTGGCCAACATGGTGAAACCCCGTCTCTACTAAAAATACAAAAGTTAGCTAGCTGTGGTGGTGCACGCCTGTAATCCCAGCTACTTGGGAGGCTGAGGGAGGAGAATCACTTGAACCCAGGAGGCGGAGGTTGCAGTGAGCCAAGATCACGCCACTGCACTCCAGCCTGGGCAACAGACAAAGACTCTGTCTCAAAACAAACAAACAAACAAACAAAACACCTGAATTAAATGAAGGAACATACAATGTTCCTGGATAAGAGGAAATATTTTAAAGCTTTCAATCTCCTTCATTATCTATCAATGTGTCATAATAAAATCCCAAGTAAAATTTAAAAATTAAAAGGCTAATTCTAACAAAAAAGGAAAAAAAATAAAAAAACAAACAAGCAGAAAGGCTAATTCCAGATTTAGCTTGTAAAGTTACTGTGTCAGGAAAAATCTGAAAAGCAACGACAGACTTGTCCGACTAAATATCAGCATATGGTACAAAGCTACAGTAATTAATACAATTTGGCACTGGGACAGAAAATAAAGAAATCCCTGGAAGAGGCTAGAAAACCCAGAATCAATTCCAAATACAGAAATTCAGCACATGGTAAAAGTGGCATTCCAAAGCAATGAGGAATTAACATTTTTCAATAAATAATATTAAGGTAATGGCTATATTTTGGAGAAAATAATCAGATCCCTAATTTGCACCATCACACACAAAAATAAATTCTAAAGTAGCATTAAAAATAGAAGTGCTCTCACCACACAAGAAATGGTAATTTGGTAATATGACAGCTTAGCTTGATTGAATCTTTCTATAATACATACAGAGATTAAAACATCACATCACATTGTACCCCATAATATGGACAATTATTTGTTAATTAATAAATTTTAAAAATAGAAACCTAAAAGATAAAACTATAAAAGCATTGGAAGAAAATAAGATAATTTCAGGCCAGGTATGGTGGCTCACGCCTGTAATCCCATCGCTTTGGGAGGCCGAGGCGAGTGGACCACTTGAAGTCAAGAGTTCAAGACAAGCCTGGCCAACATGGTGAAACCCCCGTCTTTATTAAAAATACAAAATTAACCAGGCATGGTGGCATGCGCCTGTAATCCCAGCTACTTGGGAGGCTGAAGCAGGCGAATCCCTTGAACCCAGGACACAGAGGTTGCAGTGAGCTGAGATCGTGCCACTGCACTCCAGCCTGGGCAATGGAGCAAGACTCCAACTCAGAAAAAATTGAATAAATAAACTATAAACTAAGTTCTTCCCACAGTTAGTTCAGCCCACACCAGAATGAACAAGGACAGCTTGGACGGTAGAAGCAAGATGGCGTTGGTTAGGTCAGATCTCTTTCACTGTCTCAGTTATAATTTTGCAATGCTGGCCAGGCGGGGTGGCTCGCACCTGTAATCTCAGCACTTTGGGAGGCCGAGGGGGGCGGATCACAAGGTCAGGAGATCGAGACCATCCTGGCTAACACGGTGAAACCCCATCTCTACTAAAAATACAAAAAATTAGCCAGGCGTGGTGACACGTGCCTGTAGTCCCAGCTACACAGGAGGCTGAGGCAGAAGAATTGCTTGAACCTGGGAGGCGGAGGTTGCAGTGAGCCGAGATGGCACCACTGCACTCCTGCCTGGGCATCAGAGCAAGACTCCGTCTCAAAAAAAAAAAAAAATTGCAATAGTGGTTTCAATCTGAAAGCCATAAAGAAAATATAATAAATTTGATTTCATAAATGTTTACTTTCTGTACAACGGCAAAAAAAACACATAAACAAAATCGAGACACAAATAACAAGTGAGAGGAAAATATTTTCAATACATATGATAGGGAACACATTTTTATACTACATAGAAAGTCTCAGACTATCCAATGTTTTCAATTAAAAAACAAAAAAACCAAAAACATGGACAAAAGGGATGAAAGACTGCTCACAGAAAAAATATAACTGGTCAATAAATGTATGAAAGATGTAATAATTCATAACTAAATCACTGAAACCATTAGATAACATTTTTTGGGTAGATCGGGGGTGGCATGACTATGGTCAGTGAGCTAATTCTAGTCCATTGCCTGTTTTTGTGCAGACAGCAAGCTAAGAACGGTTTTGCATTTTTAAATGGTTGAAGAAAATAAAAATAAGATTACTATTTTGTAATATGTAGAAATCATATGAAATCCAGATTTCAAGGCCCATAAGTACAGTTTTATTGGAACAGTCACCCTTGCTTATTTACTTATTGGCTATGGCTGCTTTCATCCTACAAAGGCAGAGATGAGCAGCTGGGACAAAGATGGCCTGCGAAGCCTAAAATATTCATATCTGGCCCTTTACAGAAAAAGTTTGCAGACTCCTAGCTTCATGTGTCAAAGATTTTTAAAAAGTCCAATTCCACAAAGTTAGCCACCACTGGAAGTAGGGTAAATTGGTGCATTTTCTTCTGAGGGCAATCACAACTTGAACTGCTGAGATGCTCTGACACAGCGTTTAGGAATGTAACCTACAGATTCCTTTGCACATGTTCACGGGGATTTCCAAAGATATTCCTTGGTAAACCATCTGTTTTTTTTTTTTTTTTTTGACACGGAGTCTCACTCTGTCTCCCAGGCTGGAGTGCAGTGCGATCTCGGCTCACTGCAATCTCCGCCTCCAGGGTTCAAACGATTCTCCTGCCTCAGCCTCCCAAGTAGCTGGGACTACAGGGGCGTGCAACCACACCCGGCTAATTCTTTGTATTTTTAGTAGAGATGGGATTTCACCATATTAGCCAGGATGATCTTGATCTCTTAACCTTGTGATCTGCCCTCCTCGGCCTCCCAAAGTGCTGGGATTACAGGCATGAGACACTGTGCCCGGCCGGTTTTCTTTTTGTTTGTTTGTTTGTTTTGAGATGGAGTCTTGCTCTGTCAGCAGGCTGGAGTGCAGTGGCGCAATCTCCTCTCACTGCAACCTCCGCCTCCTGGGTTCAAGTGATTCTCCTGCCTCAGCCTCCTGAGTAGCTGGGACTACAGGTGCACGCCACCACACCCAGCTGATTTTTGTATTTTTAGTAGAGATGGGGTTTCACCATATTGGCCAGGACGGTCTCGATCTCTTGACCTCGTGATCCACCCACCTCGGCCTCCCAAAGTGCTGGGATTACAGGCATGAGCCACCGCGCCCGGCTATCAGAGGTATTAAATAAGACATATTTCTATGAGTAGGAGAATGGTAAACTAAGTAGTAAACATCTATACAACTTAAAAGCCATTAAAAAGAATTAGATCTCTAAGGAAAGGGTTGAACCCAGTTGTAATACCTAGTTTCATGCCTTTGAGGCACAGTATATATTGCTCCCTCTACCTGAGACATTTGCCCTGTCCTTGTCTGTGAATTCCTCATAGACAACTCACAAAAGGAGTGCACGTCAACTGACTCGTGAATCAACTGACAAGACTCAGTTTAACTATTGGTTCCTTTGTGAAGCCTACCTTGACTCCCTAACAGAAATGCCCACTCCCCTCCTTGTGCCCCCACAGTAATATGGATCTACCTCCATTATACACTTATTTCTATACTGCCTTTGTTTAGATGTCCATCTCCTCCACTAGACTCCAGAAGGGCAAGCACCATGGCTTGTTCTTTGCACTGCTAGTGAGAGGTGAAGCCGGCTGCTCTCCAGGTCTGGTGGGGACTTGGAGAACTTTTTTGTCTAGCTAAAGCATTGTAAACACCCAATCAGTGCTCTGTGCCTAAAGGTTTGTAAACACACCAATCAGCACTCTGTAAAAACGCACCAATCAGCACTCTGTGTCTAGCTAAAGGTTTGTAAACGCCGGATCAGCACTCTGTAAAAATGGACCAATCAGCAGCATGTGGGCAGGGCCAAATTAGGGAATAAAACCTGGCAACCGGAGCCAACAGCAGCTTGGGTACTCTTCCCTCCTGTGGGTAGTTTGATCTTTATAATCTTGCTGATGCTCAGTTTTTGTGTCTGCTCTATGTTTATGAGCTGTAACACTCACCGTAGAAGTCTGTGGTTTTACTCCTGAAATCAGCAAGACCACGCACCCATGGGGAGGAACAAACAATTCCAGACGTGCCGCTTTTAAGAGTTGTAACACTCCGTGCGAAGGTCTGGCTTCACTCCTGAAGTCAGCGAACCCACTGGGAGGAAAGAACAACTCTGGGCACGCCACCTTTAAGAGCTGTAACACTGAAGGTTTGCGGCTTCACGCCTTAAGTCAGGGAGACTACAAAACCGCAAGGGAGTAATGAACTCTGGTCGCGCCACATTTAAAAGCTGTTAACACTCACAGCGAAGGTCTGCAGCTTCACTCCTGAAATCAGCGAGACCACGAACCCACCAGAAGAAAGACACTCCGGACTCACAATCTTTTAGGAACTGTAACACTTACTTCGAGGGTCTAAGGCTTCATTCTTGAAGTTGGCAACACCAAGAGTGTACTGGAAGGAACCAATTCCGGACCCACCAGGACCCAGTACAACCCTTAACGATAGTAAATATTCAGGGATTTTTGCAGAGAAGCAGGGACAAGGGGACTTGGCAAGAGCTATGAAGACCTCTTGCCTCTCATCTGTGGGCAGCCTTAGAATTTTCCAGGTTGATTGCTGGGGACCAAATAGTTACAGTCTACTTGGCACCTAAACTAATCCCACCTTCAGGGAACCTTGTCATTCAGGAGCCAGGTCCTCCTCTAGGACTGAAGGTGGCAAAAATGTGTGCCCTTTGGCAACACTGCATGACACATGAAAGGGCCAACATGATTCAAACTCTTAGCTATGGAAGCCTGGGAGGATGGTAGGTTTGGATGGTCTATGGCCTTCTGATGCCTCTATCACTCCAACACAAGTGCCCTTAGTTGTTCAGTGTCCTATAAAAAAGGATGGAAAACTAGGACCACTTTCAAGGGGCTTATGCAAATACATAAAGTGCCTGAATTAAACTCTGAAGCAGTAACAGGGTAGAGAACATGGTATGTTTTCCTTTTTAAAGACGGAATGAAAACTAAAGCAAGGGCTACCAGATTGAGTTAATTCTTCGTGTTGAAACGGTACCAGTATCCAGTTAATGTGTCCAACAAAGACACCAAACTAGGTGATTCAAGCTCTAGATGGGTTTTCTAGTTTCACATTTATGTATGAACTAATTACAACAAAAAAATCACCTTTTAATTTTGCTACACAATCCTAATTTTTTTTTTTTTTTTTTTTTTGAGATAGAGTCTCATCGCCCAGGCTGGAGTGCAGTGGCGCGGTCTTGGCTCACTGCAACCTCTGCCTCCCGGGTTGAAGTGATTCTCCTGCCTCAGCCTCTCTGGTAGCTGGGACTACAGGCGCCCGCCACCACACCTGGCTAATTTTTGTATTTTTAGTAGAGATGGGGTTTTAGCACATTGGCCATGCTGGTGTCGAACTCCTGACCTTGTGACCCGCCTGCCTCGGCTTCCCAAAGTGTGGGGATTACAGGCGTGAGCCACCGTGCCCAGCCCACAGTCCTAACTTTAGAAATCCTCAGTGGCTGCCGGGCATGGTGGCTCACACCTGTAATCCCAGCACTTTGGGAGGCTGAGGCAGTCGGATCACCTGAGGTCGGGAGTTTGAGATCAGGTTGACCAACATGGAAAACCTCGTCTCTACTAAAAATACAAAATTAGCCGGGCATGGTGGCGCATGCCTGTAATTCCAGGTACTTGGGAGGCTGAGGCAGGAGAATGGCTTGAACCCGGGAGGCAGAGGTTGCCTGGGCAACAAGAGCGAAACTCCGTTTCAAAAAAAAAAAAAAAAGAAGAAAACCTCAGTGGCCAGGTACAGTAGGTCATGCTTATTACTCCAGTACATTTTGGGAGGCCAAAGCGAGAGGATCACTTGAGACCAGGAGTTTGAGACCAGCCTGGGCAACAGAGCAAGACTGCATCTCCAAAAAAAAAAAAAGTACATTAGCTGGGTGTGGTGGTATGCACCAGTAGTACCAGCTATTCAGGAGGCTGAGGTGGGATGACTGAACCCAAGAGTTTGAGGCTACAGTGACATATGATTGCACCACTGCCCTCCAGCCTAGGCAACAGAGAAAGACCTTGTCTCTTGAAAAACAAAAAAAATCCTCAGAGGTCATTTTTGAAACAAGCTTCAATGCAATGTACAATCAAATAAGTTTCCTTGGTCCTTAAGTTATTCAAAATAGGTAATTTCTAAATATTAACAAAATACTTTCATGTTTCTATATCTTGCTGCTAGCAATATCTCATTCTATGAACTAGACAGCTCTGGCAATGAAGACCCCATAGGAAATATTATTTATAGTAAACTTTATTTTCATTGATATTTCACTTAACATAATTTCAAAGTCAGTCTGTGGTCTAAGATGAGCAAAAGAACAGATATTGTAAATCTCCTAAAAGACTTTTTTTCACACTGTTCCTCAGAGCAGGGAATGGGGTTTCAGAGCCCTGAAAGCTGACACCTAACATTTTACCCTTGAGATTTACCTACAGATACAGAAAGAAAAGACAACATCAATATACAAGAATCAAGCTCTATGAGGGTCTTATTAAGCTCTTGTGTTACATACTCGCCACCTCTGTAGGTTTGTAATCATGACTGATTTTCCACCTCTCTGCCAAGTTTGGTGTCTTTTTTTTTAGGTAAAATGTCAGATGCAAAAATGCTGCACTTATTTCTCTTAATATATTGAAAATAGTGGAAGATGCAGATTTTTAATTCTTCATCAGTCTAAGCTGGAACATGACTTCTGCTAATGGGGTCTGTTGAACATACTAACTCCAACTTTGGCGACCATCAGCAAACTGTTTAAAAGAAACAAGATAGAAAATGTCAGGTAAAGGACAGAACAGGCAACTATGTTTTTAAGGAACTAAACTGCTGGTTCCTCACAACTGCGTGGGGGAGGAGGTACTAAGGCAAGAGTGGTCAGGGGTAAATTTCCATCCCTGGAGGAACCAGAGAAAAAGCAAGCCAAGGGAGTCTTAAAATAGCACACATGAGCTGGATCCTAACCCAACTGCCAATAATTTGAAGAGATGAAGAAATGGAGGCAAGAGAGAGCAAGGCCTCCCCACCATCACAGATCTGATTAATGGTAGACTCTCCAGCGTCTCAGTTTACTGCTCTAGACCTTGCTCCACACTGACTTCCTTGCTTCAGGTATAAAACATTATACTGGTAGCATCACAACTATGATCAGAGTATGTAATCTTTCTCCAAAACAGATTTTTAAAAATTCCCCTACCTTCAGGATGTCTTTATGATACTTAACTAAATTTTTTGTTTTTGAGAAGGTTTTTTATTTTTATTTTTTCAGATGGAGTCTCACTCACCTCTGTTGCCCAGGCTGGAGTTCAGCAGCACAATTTCGGCTCACTGCAACCTCCGTCTCCCAGGTTCAAGAGATTTTCCTGACTCAGTGTCCCAAGTAGCTGTGATTACAGGTGTGCACCACCATGCCCGGCTAATTTTTGTATTTTTCATAGAGATGGGGTTTCACCATGTTGGGCAGACTGGTCTTGAACTCCTGACCTCAAGTGATCCGCCCGCTCTGGCCTCCCAAAGTGCTGGGATTGTAGGCATGAGCCACCACACCTGGCCTACAACTAAAGTTTTGTTTGTTTGTTTGTTTGTTTTTTGAGATGGAGTCTTGCTCTGTCCCCCAGGCTGGAGTGCAGTGGCATGATCTCAGCTCACTGTAATCTCCGCTTCCCAGGTTGAAGCAATTCTCCCTGCCCCAGCCTTCCGAGTAGCTGGGATTACAAGTGCCCACTACCATAACCAGCTAATTTTTGTATTTTTCATAGAGACGGGGTTTCGCAATGTTGGCCAGGATGGTCTTGAACCCCTGACATCAGGTGATCCGCCTGCCTCTGCCTCCCAAATTGCTGGGATTACAGGTGTGAACCACTGTGCCCAGCCACAACTAAATTTTTTAAAAACCACAATTTGGTTTAGGTTTTATAATCAAAATTAGAAAACAGGGCCAGCCGCAGTGGGTCACGCCTGTAATCCCAGCACTTTGGGAGGCCGAAGTGGGCGGATCACAAGATCAGGAGTTCCAGACCAGCCTGGCCAATGTGGTGAAACACCATCTCTACCAAAACAACAAAAATAGCTGGGCATGGTGGTGCACGCCTGTAATCCCAGCTACTCCGGAGGCTGAGGCATGAGAATCGCTTGAACCCGGGAGGCAGATGGTGATTGCAGTGAGCGGAGATCACGCCATTGCACTCCATCCTGGGTGACAGAGTGATACTCCGTCTCAATAACAACAACAAAAAATAGAAAACAGGATTCAATCAAAATTCTCTTTTAGCAAAATTTTCTGTAAAAGACATCTACACATCTAAGAAATATGGGGCCCCCAAATCTTCCATGCAAGTCACACAAAAGGCTGCAGTCATGGCTTTGCACTAAAACTTCTGCCACCATATAGGGAGGAGTTTGGATGGACTGGAAAGCAAATATGAGAACAAACCCATTTCCACGGTGAATGGATATACTCATGCCATTTTGACATTAAACTAGCTATTGTTTTTGAAACATTTCCTATTAGTGTATATATCAAATGTCAGTTGATACATAGCATCAGATATCCTGAAACAAGTAAGGTTTTGAATGCATAAGGTATCCTGGGGAATAAACTGAACTCTACATGGTAAAGAAGAGTAATAGAATGAAAGTACCTGGCACCTGCAATTAAACCTGCAGGCATGAATTTTCCAGAGTGGTAGAACCTCATTCCCATAATGCCAGCCAAGGTACCAGATGTAGCTGATGAAAAACATATAAAGAAGTGTTAAAACTCATTACATCTTCTACGCAGGGGAATCAGAAGTGGGCCAAGCCCCACCCATCTCTCAAGGCTCACGCCTCATCCTATGCTTATTCCTCTTTCCCCAAGTCGGGGAGACTACTGACTGCCCACATCCTATGGGTCCTAGTACCAATATTGGCCAAATAGGGCCCTTCACAGCCTGGGTCCTGCCTGCCCTTCCAGCTTCATCTCTTACCACTTGTCTTCTGCAAAACCCACACTTTAGCCATCAATATGTTAGTTTTCTCCAAAATGCTACTGTTTCTCACGCCCTGCAGACGCTACTTCCTCTACCCTGCACACAATTCCCACTGGGTATCTGTCGAAGCACCTACTACATGTCAAGTGCTGTGCTAGGAGCTGGAGAATACAAAGGTTATTGTAACTGTCTTTGCCCTTTTACAGTGCTTCAGGTCTGATGGGACAGACTTTAAAGACTCACACGAATAAAAAGGCTTAGACAAAAAAGTGAAGATTGGCTGAGATCTGAAATTACGCAGGAATTAATGAGCTGAAGGATGGGAAGGCCCATTCCAGGCAGAGGGGACAGTATATGCAGAGGCCCTGTGGTGACAGGGAGCATGGGACATTCACCCTAAAAGGGCAGCATGGCACAGAAGTCAAGATGCAGTTTGTGAGTAAGAGGTGCCAGACCACATGGAGCCTTGAAGGCCATACTGGGGTTTGGGTTTTCATCGTAAGAACAATGAGAAGCTATTAAAGGATGCTAAGCAGAAGGACACATGAACAGAGTCACATTTTTTTTTTTAATTTTTGAGACAGAGTCTTGATCTGTCGCCCAGGCTAGAGTGCAGTGGCGTGATCTTGGCTCACTGCAACCTCCACCTCCTGGGATCAAGCAATTCTCAAGTCTCAGCCTCCTGAGTAACTCGGACTACAGGCGTCCGCCACCACGCCTGGCTAATTTTTTTTTTAAATTAGAGACCGGGTTTCACCACGTTGCCTACGGTGGTCTCAAACTCCTGAGCTCAGGCAATCCACCCTCCTTGGCCTCCCAAACCTGAAGTCAGGAGTTACAGACCAGCCTGGACAACATGGCGAAACTCCTGTCTCTACTAAAAATAGAAAAATTAGCCGGGCATGTTGGTGGACGCCTGAATCCCAGCTACCTAGAAGGCTGAGATAGGAGAATTGCTTGAATCTGGGAGGTGGAGGTTGCAGTGAGCCAAGGTTGTGCCACTACACTCTGGCCTGGGCAATATGTGAGACTCCATCTCAAAAAAAGGGAAGTTTATGAAGGGGAAGGAGACAAGCACATCTGAATATCAATGCGGGGATCCACCTAAAAGGAGGAATACAAATACAAGACAGGATCCTGGCCAGTGTAAAGGTCTGGAGAAGATCAGGGAGAAGACACCCAAAGCCCAGAGGAAGACACTGGTGTTGGAGAGGAGGGAAACAGGACGAGGGGAGGCTTGGAGATTAAAGGCTCCAGGAGTCCCCACCTGATGGCTGCTGTTTTTTCCCTACAATAGGCGTGAGGTCATTTGCTGAGTAGAGTAGCATCAGAGAAAGGGAAAATGCAGGCTCAAGTCATTCTGGAGCATGAGGGAGGGAGCTGTTAGGCAGAGCTGGGACCTGGACACACCTCCTTCCCCAGCACACCCCATTAGCCATCACGGACCTCCCTTCCCCACCCCAGCTGATATGTACAGATCACATGGCTTCTCCCTCCCACATGGCACTCATTCTCACACGGGGTTTGTAGAGACCGCAAGGAACCCACACTCCTAGCAGTGTCTGACACATGGGTGGAGCCCCACAGAAATGTACTGAAAGCCACTCTGATAAGGAGGACTCTTCGGTCCCCCACACCACTCACTGTCCGTGCTGCTTACAGGGTACCTTTCCAGTCCTGCTTCTATGCCTATGTTTTTTGTTTTTTGACATGGAGTCTTGCTCTGTCGCCCAGGCTGGAGTGCAGTGGTGTGATCTCAGCTCAACTGCAATCTCTGCCTCCCAGGTTCAAGTGATTCTCCTGCCTCAGCCTCCCAAGTAGCTGGGACTACAGGCACCCGCCACCACCCCCAGCTAATTTTTGTATTTTTAGTAGAGATGGGGTTTCACCATGTTGGTCAGGCTGGTCTCGAACTTCTCACCTTGTAATCCACTTGCCTCGGCCTCCCAAAGTGCTGGGATTACAGGTGTGAGTCACTGCAGTCACATTTAGCTAACTGCTAAAGAGGTGATTTTCAAATGGGGAAATCGCAATTCAGATGCAAACCTAACCCAGACGTGTGATAGTTTAGTGATGCTGAAGCCAAAGGTCTTCAGTGGGCAACCTCAACGGTTGATACATTTGCCTGATAGAATTTTAATGCTACTGGGTAAATATAGTCACGAGCTATGAAAATCCTTCCATGTTCTGTATGTAAAAGATAAACAGAAACCAGCATAATTCCTGCCTCTGCACCCTCATTTTAAAACTTTCTGAGGACTTGGTAGAAGCAGTGAAATTGTCGTAAGTGAAGTGTGAAGAACTCACCCCATCCCACCAAACCAGGGTCTTTTGGAAAAGAGTATTCTGGATACATAGCTGCCCTAAGGAGACGCCAAAGCAGACATACCTAGGAAAACCCAAACGTTCCTTGGATCCTGAGACAGCTGGTAAGCACCCAGGCCGGCTAGACTGCCAAAGAGCAGCCCTGCAGCCAGGGACGGCACGCTGCCTAGAGGGAAGCAAACACAGCTTGCATTGTAATGTCAGGCACTTATTTCACTAACGGAATCCCCCAGACCGCTGCCCTACAAAGGAGGACAGCACAGAGAACTCTCAACACAGCTCATAGCCAAGGTGGACTCAAGCAGGAAGACGTTACAGAGAGTGTGCTATCTTCTCAGAGAAGTCAGGGTCTTCCCACCCCATTTTTCTCTCCTCTAATAGGCAGGGCACTTCCATCTAAGGAAAGGAAAGAAGGCCATCTTCCCTCCTTAGATGGAACTGTGGCTAGGCCTTCTTTCTAATCAGGCCTGATCAACCATGAAGGACTGGAATTGTGTACAGGCAGGACCTCCAGCAAATCACAAAAGGAGAAGGAGATAAGGCCAGTCAATTAAAAAAATACAAAGACCTGGAGAAGAAGAATTCTGGTGCAGGGGTTGGGGTGGGAATGCAGGCAAGGACTAGGGGGCAAACACAAGCACAGCCACTGACACACCCCTGCCTGGCCTAACGAGGAGAGTTCAAAATACCAGTCTGTGTAGGCCAGAGGTTTCCTCCTACTTGAGCCCAGAGATGGCACTTGGGGGTCGTGGCTGATGAATGGCAGTCAACGATAATAACAAACTACAACCGCCCCTGCCTATCTGTAGATAAAGAGGCAAAAACAAGTAATTCCAAAAGAGGCCTGGCTCAGCTTCACCAGATAACCAAAGGGCAAGGGCAGGAGCTGCAAGACTGACAAGGAAGCCTGCACTCCAGCTTGGGGACCCACAGCAAACCTGACTCAAATGAGATTGCTTCTCAGGGACACGGGCATTCACATTTCACTGGGACAACGTGAAGATGTTAAGAGGCTAAGTAACAACAAAACCCTACCTGCTTTTACATAGCCAATGATCCCACCAGAAGCAACCAGTGCTGCGTAGCCAAAGCCAAACCAATGCAAAGGCACTCTGAAAACACAAGAGGGAGAAGTCAGTGCTAACCTGGCTTTGAAAACAAACCATACTGTCATAGGATGGGACTAAAAGGTAATCATTCCCCACAGGTCCTATCACTGAAAATAAGGACCACAGAGGTTGGATGACTTTCTGAGAGTCACACAACTCAGCAAAGCCAGAGCTGGGACTCAAACCCAAGTTTCTGGCCCACAGGTCCAGTGATCCTCCCATCCCCCATGCCATCCCAGGCAGTCTACTCTTAAGGTTCTTTTCAGCTAAGGAAAGGAACTCTGGTTTCCAGAAGCTCCTGGCTACTCCATACCCATTTACTGCACTCACACTGAGCCAGTGTCCTGCATTTTTCTCTTCTCTGTCCAGACAGGAGACTACCCCAGGCCTGCACCTGCAGAAAACAAGCTGGATCAGAGGTAGTTAAAAGCACAGCTCTCCAGCAGTCAGAAAGAAGTGTGTCCAACCTGCAAGCTACGCAACCTAAGTCTCAGTATTCTTCACTGTACCATGAGGATAACACTGGTACCGATTTCCTGGGGCTGTAGTGAGCATTCAATGGATGTCACATGTAAAGGTGCTTAGCACCTAGTAAACCCTGAACAGATGCTGACCATTGTCATGAAAACCTCAGTTTTAATCACATAGGCCCACGGGAAACTCAGCAAGATCCACTGACCAGCTCTAAAATCAGGGAATGTGTTAGTCATTTCATCAGCTACCCATGTTATCACTAAATTCAAAAGCAAATACTCCCGTGCCCTTAATCCAACTACTTTAATGTCTCTTTTGAGGGGAGGTAGGGGTGTTGCTTTTCATCCCTGCTGCAACAGCCAATTTCAAAGCTCAACTTTTTTAGAAACTTCTGCGTCCAACTCACAGTTCTTGTTAGGAGGGCAGTAGTAGGAGAGGATAAAATATACGGAAACAGTGGTCATATTCACATGTGACACTACACCCTTGGAAAAACAGCTTCTATTTTCTTACAGAAAGTATCCTGTGTCCAGTGAGCCAAAAGATGAAAGCAATGCATACCCCGTTTATTCTGTTTAAAGAATTAGGCCAAGCGCAGTGGCTGACGCCTGTCATCCCAGTACTTTAGGAGGCCGAGGCGGGCGGATCACCTGGGGTTAGGAGTTCAAGACCAGCCTGGCCAACATAGTGAAACCCATTGTCTACTAAAAAATATAAAAAAATTAATCGCGCATGGTGATATGCGACTGTAAATCCCAGCTACTTGGGAGGCTGAAGTGGGAGGATGGCTTGAGCCCAGGAGGCAGAGGCTGCAATGAGACATATTCAGGCAACTGCACTCAAGCATGGGCGACAGAGCAAGTCCCTCCCTCAAGGACAAAAAAAAAAAAAAAAAGAATTAAGTTTCCATAAAACAGGGAAGGGCAGCGGGCTTGGGATCTTGCCCACAGTTCTTAACTCGAGACGGCACCGAGTAAGGGAGGCTTTTAAAGAGATGGAGCAAGAAAATCACCAAGAAACGAGGCAACACTATGCTACATGGGTAAGCCTTTGCCTCAGGAGCCCAGGGGCTCCGCGCATCCACAACTTCTTTTAAAAGCAGAAAATACCCAACGAGAAAAGCACCGACCACACGGCCTGAAGGCCCGCTGAATCGGGGGGACGAAAAGCAGACGGCCGTGAAACTCCTAAATAATCCCTAAAAGTTAAAAGTGGC
The DNA here is from genome assembly GCF_000001405.40 of Homo sapiens. NCBI lineage: Eukaryota > Metazoa > Chordata > Mammalia > Primates > Hominidae > Homo > Homo sapiens. The sequence continues at coordinate 10,723,273 of NC_000006.12, read as the reverse complement.
AGAAAATAAGAATAATCCCCAAATACTCGCACCGGTCTCACGAAGGCCCCGGCTGTCTACAAGGGCGCGCAAGCCGCAGGAATGACTGCGAGGTGTCGCCGGAAATGCAGCGGCGGGCGCTCTCCGTCCCGGTGGCGGGGCGAGGAGAGGGGAGCGGCTCTGTTGTGCCTGCGCAGTGTACCGGGAGAGGGGCGGTCAGAGAATGGGGACGGTGCGGGCGGGGCTTGAGCCGCCAAGTAGCAGCATGCGCCCTGCATTCAGCGGGTGGAGAGTGGGGCGGGGCATCGCGGCGAGCTCCTGAGTCCAGGGAACGCGGCGGGGAATCTCTGTGCTTCCCCTGTCCGCAGCGCCTGCAGGGCCGACCAGTATCAGTCCCAGGTCCAATCCTGAGTGGCCAAAAGCAGGAGACCCGGAGTTGGACCTGGGACTTGCACAAGCCGGACCACGTGAGCTCGGCCACGCCAGAGGTGAGGCCACCGCTGCGGGACCAGGGAATCTGAGGCTGGATTTTGAAGGACCCCATTAATAGAGGAACAAGTTACAGGGTATAAACCAGATGCAGGCCATCAGGGAGGAGTGTCACTCAAGCCCGATCTTGTCTACACCAGGAAGGGCCTGCCTGGAAGAAAATACGGGGGCTGCAGAATAATGTGGCTCAAAGCCAAATATCCGTTTGTTTTAGGGAGTGAGGCTGCTTGAGAAGCATCTTAAAGGGGGATGGGGAGTAAGTTAAACCTGATTTTTACCCAGCTCTGTGGACCCAAAATATCCACAGCATATTATCTCCATTCCCACTTGGAGTCACTCCTATTCCGTTTCCTGCACCACCATTCTCTTAGTTGCTCTACACTAAAATTTGCTGTCATCGTTGACTTCTCCCTCTCCATCCCCTACAAGTATCAACATACACAAATCTGACCAATATAATTGTCAGTGAATAAAGCGAATTCCAGCCAAGTTTTTTTTTTTTTTATGTGGAGTCTCACTCTATTGCCCAGGCTGGAGTGCAGCGTATGATCTTGTCTCACCACTACCTCTGACTCCCATGTTCAACTGATTCTCCTGCCTCAGCTGCCTGAGTAGCTGGGATTATAGGCCTGTACCACCACCCCTGGCTGCCAGGCTAATTTTTGTTATTTTTAGTGGAGATAGTGAGAGATCACAACGTGCCAGTGTGTTCAAAATTGATGGCTTCTTGGTCTGACTTGAGAAAGCTGCAGACCCTCGCGATGAGTGTTAGTTCTTAAAAGCAGTGTCTCTAGAGTTTTTCTTCCGATGTTTAGAAGTATTCAGGGAGTTTTTCTGCTGGTGGGTTTGCTGTCTCACTGGCTCAACGAGCAAAGCTACAGACCTCTGTGGTGGATGTTAAAGCTCTTAAGGCAGTGTGTCTGGAATTGTTTGTTCTTCCCGGTGGGATCGTGGTCTCCCTAGCTTTGGACTGGCTCAAGGAGCAAAGCTACAGACTTCTATAACGAATGTTAAAGCTCTTAAGGCAGTGCGTCTGGAATATGTTTGTTCTTTCCGGTGGGATCGTGGTCTTCGTAGCTTTGGGAGCAAAACTGCAAATCTTCGCAGTGAGCGTTACCACTTGTAAAGACAACACAGGACCTAAGCACCGAGCAACAGCAATATTTGTTGCAAAAAGAAAAAGAGAAAGAACAAAGCCTCCTCCACATAGAAGAAAACCCAAGTGCGTTACAACTACTGGCTTGGGCAGCCTGCTTTTATTCTCTTATCTGGCCCCACCCACATCCTGCTGATTGGTAGAGCCGAGTGGTCTGTTTTGACAGGGTGCTGATTGGTGCGTTTACAATCCCTGAGCTAGATACAAAAGTTCTCCACGTCCCCACCAGATTAGCTATAGAGTGTCCACACAAAGGTTCTCCAAGGTCCTGCCAGAGTAGCTAGATACAGAGTGTGGATTGGTGCATTCACAAACCCTGAGCTAGACACACGGTGCTGACTGGTGTGTTTACAAACCTTGAGCTAGATACAGAGTGCCGATTGGTGTATTTACAATCCCTAAGCTAGACATAAAGGTTCTCCACGGTCCCCACCAGAGTAGCTAGATACAGTGTCCATTGGTGCATTCACAAACCCTGAGCCAGACACAGGGGGCTGATTGGTGTGTTTACAAACCTTGAGCTAGATATAGAGTGCCAATTGGTGTATTTACAATCCCTGAGCTAAACATAAAGGTTCTCCACCTCCCCACCAGACTTAACCCAGCTGGCTTCACCCAGTGGATCCCACACCAGGGCTGCAGGTGGAGCTGCCTTCCAGTCCTGCGCCCTGCGCCCACACTTCTCAGCTCTTGGGTGGTTGATGGGACTGGGCCCTGTGGAGCAGGGGGTGGTGCTCATCAGGGAGGCTCGGGCCCTACAGGAGCCCACGGAGGTGGTGGGAGGCTCAGGCATGGCGGGCTGCAGGTTCCGAGCCCTGCCCCGTCGGAAGGCAGCTAAGGCCCCGCGAGAAATCCAACGCAGCGCCGGTGGGCTGGCACTGCTGGGGGACCCAGTACACCCTCTGCAGCCGCTGGCCTGGGTGCCAAGCCCCTCATTGCCCAGGGCCGGCCGGCCGGCTGCTCCGAGTGCGGGGCCCGCCAAGCCCACGCCCACCCGGAACTCCAACTGGCGCGGAAGCGCCGCGCGCAGCCCTGGTTTCCGCTCGCGCCTCTTCCTCCACACCTCCCTGCAAGCTGAGGGAGCCAGCTCTGGCCTTGGCCAGCCCAGAAAGGGGTTCCCACAGTGCAGCGGTGGGCTAAAGGGCTCAAGTGCCTCCAAAGTGGGAGCCCAGGAAGAGGAGGCGCCGAGAGCGAGGGCTCTGAGGACTGCCAGCACGTCGTCACCTCTCACTAGCAGCCTTCGCTTGCTCTCGGTGCCTCCTTAGCATCGGCCAGGCTCGAGGAGCCCTTCAGCCCGCCGCTGCGCTGTGCGGGGCCCTCCCTGGGGCTGGCCGAGACCGGAGCCGGCTCCATCTGCTCGTGGGGAGGCGTGGAGGGAGAGGCGCAGGCGGGGACTGGGGCTGCGCTGCCCCGGGTTCCAGGTGGGCGCAGGCTCGGTGGGCCCCGCACTTGGCGCGACCTGCCGGCCCCTGCTGGGCTTGATCGGAGGCTGGGTCCAGTGCGTGGACCGCCGTTCCCTCTTGGCGGGGTCGTTGGCCACGATGGCGGGTCTCTGTCTCTCTCCTCCTCTTTTCCTCTTGGTTGTGTGGGAGGAGCTCCCGGAGTGCCCAGGCTAGTTGCCAAAAAGTCCCACCCAACTCCCAGCGAGAGGTGAAGCCCGCTGGGCTTCTGGGACGGGTGGGGACTTGGAAAACTTTTGTGTCTAGCTAAAGGATTGTAAATGCACCAGTCAGCAGTTTTTTGTCTAGCTAAAGGTTTGTAAACGCACCAATCAGCGCTCTGTGTCTAGCTAATCTGGTCAGGACTTGGAGAACTTTTGTATCTAGCCAAAGGATTGTAAACGCACCAATCAGCACTCTGTGTCTAGCTAAAGGTTTGCAAATGCACCAATCGGCACTCTGTAAAATGGACCAATCAGCTGGATGTGGGTGTGGCCAGATTAGGGAATAAAAACTGGCCACCCACAGCCAGTAGGGGAAACGTGCTTGGGTGTTTTCTTGGGCTGACAGAGCTTTGTTCTTTTGCTTTTTGCAATAAATGTTGGTGCTGATAGTTCTTTAGATCCGTGCAATGTTTATGAGTTTTAATACTCACCGTGATAAGGCTACAGTTTTGCTTCTGAAGCTAGTGAGACCACAAACCCACTGAAAGCAGATGAAAAACTGGATGTGCCACCTTTATGAACTGTAGCACTGACTGCAGAGGTTGGTGGTTTTATTGCTGAGGCTAGCAGAGAGCACAAACCCACCAGAAAGAACAAGTAACTGCAGATGTGCCACCTCTAAGAGGTGTAACACTCACTGCAAAGGCCTGCAGCTTCATTCCTGAAATCAGTGAGACCGTGAACCCACCAGTAGGAAGAAACTAGATAATGTCTGAATGTCGGAAGGAACAAACTTTGGACCCACCATCTTTAACAGTTGTAACATTCAATCATGAGGGTCTGTGGCTTTATTCTTGAAGTCAGCAAGACGAACCCACAAAGTCCAGACACAATGGGGTTTCACCATGTTGGCCCAGCTGGTCTCAAACTCTTAATCTCATCTGCCCACCTCAGTCTCCCAAAGTGCTGGGATTAGAGGCATGAGCTGCTTTGCTGGCCTTTGTAGCATGGTTTTTGCTTTTTTTTTTTTTTTTGAGATGGAGTTTTGCTGTTGTAGAAAGTAGAAAAGCTTCTCTTCAAACCTTGTCTTGGTTTAAAAATAGACACCAGGAATAATCACATCTTACTCCAAAGCCTGCTATCAACTGTTAGTTCTTACGATTTAGCCCAGTTAGTTGCTTTGGCTTATTCAGGCATGTCTGGACAGGCCCAAGCAAGTCTCAGCTCATATTTTATGCCCCTTCCTTATTTGGAAATGTTATTATTTCCTTAAACCTTTCATAAGCAACTTAGTCTCCTTTATCCTCCCTTGCACCTAACTATTTAGGAAAGTTTCAGGTTGTTAGCAAATTGGAAATTTAAGACCGAGGTCCAGCACCAGTCAATGCATGCAGGACACAGCAGTAAGGAGGACCCAAATGTGTAAACCCTCTGCTTTTCCTTTGTTCAAGTGTGCTATTGCCGTTGTTCCATCTGTGAGAAGCACCCTTTCTGCAGGAAGTGAAAATGGCCTTGCTGAGAGAATTAAATTTATGTTTGAGTGCTATTTTGTGGTGCTGGGGAACAAGCATTTCTAACAGTTGCCCAGGCTGGAGTGCAGTGGCATGATCTCAGCTCACTGCAACCTTTGCCTCTCAGGTTCAAGTGATTTTCCTGCTCAGCCTCCTGAGCGGCTGAGATTACAGATGTGTGGCACCATGCCTGGCTATTTTTTGTGTTTTTAGTAGAGACAGTGGTTCACCATGTTGGCCAGGCTGGTCCCACACTCCCAGCCTCAAGCAATCTGCCTGCCTGGGCCTCCCACAAGTGTCGGGATTACAGGTGTGAGCCACCATGCCCGGTCGCGGCGTATATTCTTAAAGACAAACTTTCCACTTGTGGCAGCACCTACCTTGCAGATAGCAAAATTGAAGCCCTTGTTTATCACAGCTGATTCTAACCAGCCAACGCTGATAATGACTAAGAACTTGCAGGAATTGCAGTATGCCAGACCTTCAATTTAATTGAAGACCTTCCTGAACAATTAATAGGGAGACTTGTCTTAACCTGCAGGAACGGCTTTAGGGGCTCATTCTTCCCTATGCAGGCGCAAGCCTCAAACCTTAATTAGGATCATCCACCATGATTCCCGCACTCTCCCCCTCACCTTATACTTGAAGAAACTCAACCTCAGAGAATTGTATTATCTACGGTCTTTGTCAGTGGTACAGCTATGATTTAAAGTAAGGTCTGAAATACAAAAATTAGCCAGGCGTGGTGGCACACCCCTGTAATCCAAGGTACTCTGGAGGCTGAGGCAGGAGAATTGCTTGAACCTAGGAGGCGGAGGTTGCCATGAGCCAAGATTGCGCCATTGCACTCCAGCCTGGGCAACAGAGCAAGACTCTCTCAAAAACAAAGAAACGAACAAACAGTGTAAAGAAAGAAAAGCAGCATTTTAAATAATGTTTATATAACTCATAGGAAAGTAGGAAAAAGAAAACAAAAACAGCACAAACAGCAAAACAAAAAAATGGCCAACTTAAGTCTTAAAACATTAATGACATTAAATGTAAACAGTCTAAATACATCAATTAAAAGACAGAATGGATTAAGAAATATGACACAACTATATGCTGCATACAAAAAATTCACTTCAAACATAAGGATACAGGCAAGTTGCAATAAAAGACGGAAAAAATATATCATGCAAACAAAAGAAATCAGAAGTAGCTACATTACTATCAGATAGATTTCAGAGCAAAGAAAATGACCAGAGACAGTGACATTGTATAAAGATTTAAGAGTCAATCCACCAAGAAAACAGAAATCCTAAATGTATATGTACCTAACAATAGAGCTGCAAAAGATGTGAAACAAAAACTGAAGGAATTGAAATAAGAAATGGACAAATCCAGAGTTATAGTTGGATGCTTCAATCCCTCTAAATGATGATAAAAGCAGTAGACCAGAAGTCAGGAAGGATATAGAAAAACCCCAATAACATCATCAACTAACAGGATCTAATATACATTTATAGAGTGCTCCACCCAACAACTGCAAGATACATATTCAAGTGTCCACAGAACATCTATCAGGAGAGATCATATCCTGGGCCATAAAACAAATCTCAACTAATTTAAAAGAATTGAAATCATACAGAATGTGTTCTCCAACAACAATGGAATCAAATTAGAAATCAGTAACAGAAAGATAAGAAAATCTCCAAACACTTGGAAACTAAACATTTTAAAATAATCTGTCGGTCAAAGAGAAAAATCCAGAAATTAAATTAAGGCTAGGCATGGTGGCTCTAAAAATTAAAAATCTAGAAATTAAATTAAGGCTAGGTAGGTGTGGTGGCTCATGCCTGTAATCCCAGAACTTTGGGAGGCCAAGGTGGTAGGATCGCTTGAGTCCGGGAGTTTAAGAGCAGCCTGGCCAACGTGGTAAAACCCTGTCTTTATAAGACACAAAAAAGCCAGGCGTGTTGGTATGTGCCTCTAGTCCCAGCCATTCAGGAGGATGAGGTGGGAGAATTGCCTGTCTCTAGGAGGCCAAGGCTGCAGTGAGCCAAGATCACGCCATTGCACTCCAGCCTGGGTGACCTTGCCCCCTCCCCTGCCGCCAAGAAAAGTGCATTATCCTGAATAAAATGAAAATACAACACATTAAAATATATAGCATTAGTAGCAATGAATAAACCAAAAGTGAAATTAACAATTCAATTTACAATAGCATCAAAAGGAATAAAACCCTCAGAAATAAATTTAATAAAATAAATACAAAATTTATAAACTGAAAACTAAAAAACACTGTGGAAAGAAATGAAAGAATACCTAAATAAATAAAAGGATATCCTTTGTTTGTGGATTGGAGGATTTCAAATTTTTCAGGTTATAATATTCCTCAAATTGATCTACAGATTCAATGCAATTCCTGTCAAATTCAAGCTGGACTCTGCAGAAATTGATAAACTGATATTAAAATTCATTAAAAATTCAAGGGACACAGTACAGCCAAAATAATCTTCAAAAAGAATAAAGTTGCAAGACTCACCTTTCCTTATTTCAAAACTTACTACAAACCTATAGTAATCAAGACTGTATTGTACTATTATAAGGATGGGCATATAAATCAATGGATTAGAATTGTGAATCCAGGGCCGGGCGCGGTGGCTCACGCCTGTAATCCTAGCACTTTGGGAGGCTGAGGCGGGTGGATCACCTGAGGTCAGGAGTAATAAACATTTTTTCAAAAAAGATAAAAGAGGCTCACCATCATTAGCCATCAGGAAATGCAAATCAAAATCACAATGAGCTACTAAGCCCCACCCACTGGAATGGCTATAATAAAAACAAAAAACCAGGTGTCAGCAAAGGTGTGGCAAAATTGGAACACTCACACACTGGTGGTGGAAATATAAAGGGTGTGATCGCTTTAGGACAGTATGGCAGTCCCTCAAAAGGTTGAACATAAGAGTAACCATCTGATTCCGCAATTTTACTTCTAGGTATATATGTACCCAAGAAAAATGAAAACATATGTTCATGCAAAAACTTGTAAATGAATGTTCAAAGCAACATTATTCTTACTAGCCAAGAAGAAACAAATATGCATCAGCTATAGAATGAACAAACTGTGTTATATCCATGCAATGAAATATTATTTGGCAATAAAAAGAAATGAAATACTGATATATGTTACAATATGAATAAACCCTTGCCAGGCACAGTGGCTCACACCTGTCATCCCAGCACTTTGGGAGGCCGAGGCAGGCGGATTACCTGAGGTCAGGAGTTTGAGACCAGCCTGGCCAACATGGCGAAACCCCGTCTCTACTAAAACTACAAAAATTAGCTGGGCATGGTGGCGGGTGCCTGTAATCCCAGCTACTTGGGAGGCTGAGGCAGGAGAATCGCTTGAACCCAGGAGGTAGAGGTTGCAGTGAGCCGAGACCGCACCATTGCACTCCAGCCTGGGCAACAAGAGCGAAACTCCATCTAAAACAACAACAACAACAAAAAACCAATATGGATGAACCCTGGAACAATATGTGAAGTGAAATCACAAAAGACCCCAAATGGAATGATTCCATTTCTATGAAATGTCTAGACTAGGCAAATCCTACACATACGGAAGACAGATCAGTGGTTGCATACACCTAGGGGTGTTTGGGAGGGAGAAATGGGGAATGACAGCTAAGGGGTCCAAGGTTTCTTCTTGGAGTGATTAAAATGTCCTAATATTGATTTTTGTGATAGTTGCACTCTGTGAATAGACTGAAAAACATTGAATTGTATGCTTTCGATGGGTGAATAGTATGTTGTATGAATTATGTCTCAAAGTATTACAAAAAACCAAACTGTGTTTGCTACTTGGGAGGCTGGGGCCAGAAGATTGTTTGAGGCCAGAAGTTTGAGACCAGCCTCAGCAACCATAACACAACCCTGTCTCTTTTAAATAGATAGATACACTACTACATACAAAAACAGTGGCATGTAGCAAAAGCAGTGCTAAAAACCTTAAGAGCACACATTTGAAATGAGGGAAAAACTCACATAATATAAGCTCCTGCCTCAAGAACCTAGTAAAAAAGCCAGGTGTGGTGGCTCACACCTGTAGTCCCAGCAACTCCGGAGGCCAAGGTGGGAGGATGGCTTTAGCCCAGGAGTTAAAGGCCAGCCTGAGCAACATAGCAAGACCATGTCTCTAAAAAATCCTAAAACAAACCAAAAAGAAAATAGAAAAAGAAGAGCAAAAGAAACCCCAAAGCAAGCAGAAGGAAAGAAGGAAATAAGGATGAGAGCAGAAAATGAAATTGAAAACAGAAGGAGTCAATGAAACAAAGAACTGATTCTTTGTTTTGTTTTGTTTTTGAGACACAGTTTCTCTCTGTTGCCCAGGCTGGAGTGCAGTGGCACAGTCTCGGCTCACCGCAACCTCCGCCTCTCGGGTTTGAGCGATTCTCCTGGCTCAGCCCCCCTAGTAGCTGGGATTACAGGCGCCTGCCACAATGCCCGGCTAATTTTTATATTTTTAGTAGAGACAGGATTTCACCAGGTTTTCCAGGTTGGTCTTGAACGTCTGACCTTAGGTGATCTGCCCACCTCGGCCTCCCAAAGTGCTGGGATTACAGGCATGAGCCACCGTGCCTGGCAGAACTGGTTCTTTGAAAAGATAATAAAACTGACAAAGCTCTAGGAAGACTGACAAAGAAAACAGAGAGGACACAAATTACCAATATCAGGAATGAAACAGGGGATGTCAAGTTGACCTTTCTTCAACTTGACAAAGAATATCTACGAAAACCCTACAGCTGGCATTATACTTAACAGTGAAAGACTGAATATTTTTCCCCTAAGATCATAACAAGGCAAAGATGTCTGTTCTCACTATTGTTATTCAACACAGTGCTGCATCTTCTAGTCAGTTAATAAGGCAAGAAAATGGGGAAAAATACAGATAGAAATAACACTATTTATATTTGCAGATAACATAATTGTCTACATAGAAACCCCCAACAAAACAACTCCTAGAATAAATGAATTCAGCAAGATAGCAGGATGTAAGATCACACAAAAATAAACTGTATTTCTATGTATTAGCAATGAATATGGGCACCAAAATTAAAAATATCACTTGTAGGCCAGGTGCAGTGGCTCATGCCTGTAATCCCAACACTTTGGGAGGCCAAAGTGGGCAGATCACGAGGTCAGGAGTTTGAGACCAGCCTAGCCAATATAGTGAAACCCCATCTCTACTAAAAGTACAAAAAAATTTGCCGGGCATGGTGGCAGGCACCTGTAATCCCAGCTACTTGGGAGGCTGAGGCAGGAGAATCGCTTGAACCCAAGGAGGCAGAGGTTGCGGTCAGCCGAGATGGCGTCACTGCACTCCAGCCCAGGCACCAGTGCAAGACTCCATCTCAAAAAAAAAAAAAAAAAAAAAAAAAATTACTTGTAATTCCCCCACCCCAAATACTTACAAATAAATCTAACACGTGCAAGATTTGTATGCTGAAAACTACACAACACTGATAAAAGAAATCAAAGATCTGGCTGGGCGCAGTAGCTAAGGCCTGTAATCCCAGCACTTTGGGAGGCCAAGGCGGGCGGATCACCTGAGGTCAGGAGTTTGAGACCAGCCTGGCCAACATGGCGAAACCCTGTCTCTTCTATAAATAAAAAAATTAGCCGGGCGTGGTGGTGTGTGCCTGTAATCCCAGCTACTCGGGAGGCTGAGGCAGGAGAATTGCGTGAATCCAGGAGGCAGTAGTTGCAGTGAGCTGAGGTCGCAAAATTGCACTCCAGCCTGGGTGACAAGAGCAAAACTGTCTAAAAAAATAAAAATAAAATAATAAAAAAATCAAAGATCTATACAGCCATGTGCTGCGTAATGACATTTTGGTCAATAATGGTTTGGTCAATAACGGATCACATATACAATGGTGGTCCCATAAGATTATGACTATACCGTATGGCCTTGGTGTGCAGCAGGCTCTACCATCCAGGTTTGTGTAAGTACACCCTGTGATATTCACACAAAATGAAATCACCTAATGAGGAATTTCTCAGAATGTATTCCTGTCATTATTGACATGACTGTACATTTTTTTTTTGTAGAGAAGGATAGAATTATCCTAAATTCTATATGGAAAGGCAAAGGAACTAGAATAGTGAAAATAATTTTGAAAAACAGAAAAGGGGGAGAATCATTCTACTCAAATTCAAGGCTTATTATATAGCTGCAGTAATCAAGACCATGTGGTTCCAGCAAAAATATCAACAGAGATCAATAGAACACAATAGAGAGCCCAGTAATAGACCCACACTAATATGCTCAATTGAATTCTGGCAAAGATGCAAAAGTATTTCAATAGAGGAAGAACAGTCTTTTCAACAAGGCGCTAGAGCAAGTCGATATCCATAGGCAAGAAAATAAACTTGGAATTAAACCTCACACTTTATACACTCAAAATGGATCACATACTAAATGTAAAATGTAAAACTCTACAAAACCTTTAAAAAATATATAGAACCTCTTCAGGATCTAAGGCTAGACAAAGGTCTTGGACTTCACACCAAAAGCATGATCCATGGAAGGAAAAATTGATGAACTGGATTTCAACAAAATAAAAAACTTGAGCTCTGCAAAAGGCTGTTAGGACAAAAACACAAGCTACAGACTAGGCAAAAATATTTGCAAACCACATTATCTGAGAAAGGCTGAGTTTCTACAATATATAAAAGAACTCTTGGCCAGGTGCGGTGGCTCACGCCTGTAATCCCTGTACTTTGGGAGGCCGAGGCGGGTGGATCACTAAAGATCAGGAGTTCGAGACCAGGCTGGCTAACATGGTAAAACCCCACCTCTACTAAAAATACAAAAATTAGCTGGGTATGGTGGCACGCACCTGTAATCCCAGTTACTCAAGAGGCTGGGGCAGGAGAATCGCTTGAACCTGGGAGGTGGAGGTTGCAGTGAGCCGAGATCACGCCACTGCACTCCAGCCTGGGTGGGTGACAGAGTAAGACTCCGTTTCAAAAAAAAACAAAAACAAAAAACTCTCAAAATTCAACAGCAAAAAAGAAAAAATATATAATGTGAACATGGGCAAAAGACTTTTCACCAATTATGATACACAGATGGCAAATAAGCACATGGAAAGATGATTAACATCATTAGCTATCAGAGTAATGTAAGTTATAACCGCAATAAGGTATCACTACACTCTTACCAGAATGGCTAAGACTAACATCAAATGCTGGAAAGATGCAGAGAAACTGTATCACTCAAACATTACTGGTAGAAATGTAAAACCATACAGCTATTCTGGAAAACTTTGGAATTCCTGGGCATTTATCCAAGAGAAATGAAGACTCTAGTTCACATAAAAACCTGTACACAAATGTTTACAGCAACTTTATTTAGATACCTAATAACAGGAAACATTCCTGACGTCCTTCCACAGGTGTTTACTATGGTACATCTATACTGACATCCCACTCAGTACTAAAAACAGAACTATTGATGCAACAAGCTGGATCAATGCCCAGAGATTATGCTGAGTGAAAAGCCAATCCCAAAAGAAAGTATAATCCAATCAATTTTGGCAAAATTAGAGATGGAGAACAGACCGCTGGTGCCAGAGGTTATGAAGGTGGGCATAGCTATACGAGCACAAGAGGAAACTGAATATGGCTTATGACAACAGATGGGATCATTGTGATAGAAATGTTCTGTATCTTGATTATATCATTTCTATCCTATCTTGGCTTGGTTGTGATATTGCCCTTGTTTTGCAAGATGTTATCATTGGGAAAACCGGGTGGAATCTCTGTATTATTTCTTACAAGTGTATATTTCTCACAATGATCTCAAAATTTTTGAGTTGAATTGAGAAAAAAAAAAGCCAACGACCTACATTTATGCTAATAGCTTATGAAATAAGCTAACAAAGGAGTAGACTGATATTAAGCACACAATTTGGTTCATTTCCTAGACAATTTATTCCTATGGAGTGGCAATTCCAGTGCCCGTTCTTATTCTGCCTAATCAGAAGTGATTCTCCTGATGGTCTCAGGTATCTAGTATCTGCCTGGCTAATTCAAACCTATGGATCCCCAATAATGTCTTTTTCTTTCTTTCTTTTTTTTAAGACAGGGTCTGGCTCTGTTGTCCAGGCTGGAGTATAGTGGTGCAGTCGCAGCTCACCGTAACTTCCACATCCTGGGCTCAAGCCATCCTTCCCACCTCCGCCTCTTGAGTAGCTGGGAGCATGTCACCACATCTAGCTAATTTTTTGGGAGAGACAGTCTCCCTATGTTGCCCATGCTGGTCTCAAACTCCTTGGCTCAAGCTACCAGCTACTCGGGAGGCTGAGGCAGGAGAATAGCCTGAACCCAGGAGACGGAGGTTGCAGTGAGCTAAGATCGCGCCACTGCACTCCAGCCTGGGCAACAGAGCAAGACTCCGTCTCAAAAAAAAAAGAAAAAAAGAAAAGATCATTTTCCCGTCCTTAAATTATTTTGTACATCTACTACTTGGAAGCAAAGTAGTTTAAAGTCTGGCAATCTCTCTATAATCTTAGGTACGTGGTCCTACACTTAAGCATATGTTTGTTTCATAGATATGTATAATTATATATGTATAATCTTTTAAGTTTGTCTGGTTGGTATGAAAATCTAAAATTACTACTTACCATTTGAAGAAGCCAAAGGCAGTTCTTAAATTCTTTCCCATTTAAGAGAAAATTTTGAATAATGACTCCTTCATCCAAATCTGATAAAGAATGTGTTCAATATTTTATATTATTTTACAGTATATTTTGAGAAAGATCTTTATTTGCTTTGTACAAAGTAAAAATTACATGACACATTAACATATTATATATCAACATGATACATAATTCATAAAACACTGTCTGCCAAAAGTAATTTTACCAGTTTTTTTTTTTTTTTTAAAAAAAACCATCTAAAAGTGGTTTTTTAATATATATATTTTTTCCAAAGGAAGAAATTTCTTGCTTTTACTCAGGGAAAAAAAAAAAATTAAGGTACATTTGAGTAGAATGATTTCATCTAAAAGAGTTCTTTCAGGAGACATCTGTGATTCACTGCATTGTTTTTATTTTCTTCTTTTTCCTCTTCTTTTCCAACATTTCTACCATTTTCCTCTTCTTGGTTGATATCAGGCCACTTTCTTTTGTTGCTTTCTTACTGTCACCTGTTAAACCGCGTTTCTTTGTGTTAGGTTTTGACCGCTTTTCTTCTTTGTGCACTGTGTCACCAGGCTCCTTTTTGCCAATTTTGGACTGTTCTTTACTTACTAAAACACAAAAGAGAGTGCTTTTAAAAAAAGACTGTTTTCCCCTTTGAATGAAATAAACACAAGCTGTCAATAAAGTGAAATTATCTGGATCTCCTCCACTTCTACAATTTAAGAGATAATAGATTATTCAAAATTTCAAAACAATCAAATTCGATTACCAGGAGAAGGCTCTGCAGCTGGAGGAAGGCTTTCTTTCATGTCTGCCACTTTGTCTAGCCACACTCCAAGACACGTCAGCCTGGCATTAGTGTTTATTTCACAGAGTAAAGATGGGGGAACTTTCTAAACAGAAGAAACAAACATTCATAATGTGCATTTTCAATAATTTCTTTTTCCATAATCAAGTTACCTTAATTTAAAACTTCCTGTATTTTCTTGAGTACAAAATATGATATTCAGAAGCAACATATAATCTTCACTCATGATTAGTTTGACTGTTATTCACAGAGCCAATTTTGCATGTTCTCACTCATAGGTGGGAATTGAACAATGAGAACACACAGACACAGGAAGGGGAACATCACACACCAGGGCCTGTTGTGGGGTGGGGGGCAGGGGGAGGAATAGCATCAGGAGATACACCTAATGTTAAATGACGAAGTTAATGGGTGCAGCACACCAACATAGCACATGTATACATATATAACTAACCTGCACGTTGTACACATGCACCCTAAAACTTAAAGTATAAAAAAAAAGAAAAAAAAACATATATCCACACAAAAATTTGCATATGAATGTTCACAGAAGCACTATTCATAACATCCAAAAGGTGGAAACAATCCAAATGTCTATCACCTGATGAATGGATACATAAAAAGTGGTATATCCACACAACGGCGTAGTATTCAGTCATAAAAAGTAGTGAAGTACTAACATATGCTATAACATGATGAACCTTAGAAACATACACGAAGTGAAAAACGCCCGTCACAAAAGGCCAAACGTTGTGTGATTCCATATATGAAATGTCCAGAATAGGCAAATCCATAAAAACAAAAAACAGATTACTAGTTACCAGGGACTGGCAGTGGGGGGAAAGGAGAGGATGGGGGGTGACTGCTAATGGGTATGGAGCTTCTCTTTGGTGTGATGAAAATATTCTAAAATTAATTACGATTATGATTGTACAACTCCATGAACATGCTAAATTAAATCACTGAATTGTATACTTAAAAAAAAAAAAAAAAAAAGAAAATTCTAAAGAAAGGAATCAGGTCTTATTTCCAGGGCTGAACAAAGAACCTTGGAAAGAGACATTCAACAAACCATATTCACAGAATGTGTTTATGAGAGAACAAAGAATAAACCAAGAGAGACTGTAAGGAGACTACAGGAGGGAATTCAATTTTCCAAAGTGTCTGGTTTAAATGGTTTGTTAATTTTGTAATTGATCAGGAGCTTCCAAATTACTTTTAGCAATGGCAGTATTTTTACCTAAGAGCTTCCAGAGAACTCCAATATTCAAGAGAGGAAAGTAGAGCTTCTCTGACTAAAAAGAGCAGCGCGAGTTCTGGGATCCCACCAGCTCACACTCAGAAATGACAACCATCAAGGCAGCTCCCTGGGAACCCTAATTTTAAAACCATTAATATCAATCATGCCTGGAAGAGATTTAAAAAGTTTAAAGACCTATGTCTTATGACCCTTAAAAAAATTCCACCTCACTTATGAGCAAGACTTGTATTAAAGTACATTTAGATTGTGTTGAAGCACTGACCTTATCCTGCTTAAGCTTCCACATTTTGATGAAACCATCACTCGATGCTGAAACAATAACATGATGCTCTGGAATTTCAAAACTGAACATGTCCTTTACCCTAGGATAGAAATATTAACACCATAAAAGATCTTTTCCTCCAAATAGTCTAATATTGTTATAAAATTACACACAAAGACTAGTGCTTTCTCAATGTTTCAAGTATTTCCAAACTGCTCAATGAATGGTGCCTTAAAATATAGCTATGCTTCGCATTCCCATTAATGAGATATATCCAGGCCCAAAAAACAAGATAAAATCCACTGCCAACCATATCTGAAGGAAAAGTTGAAAAGAAAACAGATAACTATAAATAATCAGGTTATCACAAAGGAACTAAAGATGAGTAAAACAAAGCCCATCACCTCAAGAAACTCCAAGTTCAGTAAGGAGAGAAAAGACAACAGAAACGATGAATCCAGGCCTCTCCCACACATCCATTTCCCTCATCTCCAGTCCCACCACTGTTAGTCTAAGCCACTCTCATTTTTCCTCTGGATCACAGAAGTAGCCTGATTGGCCTTTCTGCTTCTTTTTTGCCCCTTAACAATTTTCTTTTCTTTCTTTTTCTTTTTTTTTTTTTTGAGATGGAGCCTTGCTCTATCGCCCAGGCTGGAGTGCGGTGGTGGGATCTCGGCTATCTCAGCTAACCACAACCTCCGCCTCCTGGGTTCAAACGATTCTCCTGCCTCAGCCTCCCGAGTAGCTGGGATTACAGGCGTGCGCCACCATACCTGGCTAATTTTTGTATTTTTAGTAGAGACGGGGTTTCACCATGTTGGTCAGGCTGGTCTCAAACTCCTGACCTTGTGATCTGCCTACCTCAGCCTCCCAAAGTGCCAGGATTACAGGCATGAGCCACTGCACCTGGCCAGAAATTTTTAAAAATGTAAATCAAATCATGTAACTTGCAGGCTTAAAACCCTACAAAACTGGGATCTACTTTAAAATAAGATGGGAGAGGAAGAAGTGGCTGGGCATATAGATGAAGCAAAACTGGCCACACAGTGACAGTTGCTAAAGCTGATGGTGGGTCTTAAAGAGTTAGCACCTTAAACCAGTCTAAATGCTTTTAAATTTTTCCATAGTAAGAAAAATTATGATGATTACAGGCACCGATTGGCTTCCACCGTCTTCTCCTTGCTCATTCTCACCTAGTCACACAGGTCTTCTATCTGCTCCTAAAATACACCAAGCTCTGTTCTCCCTCAGGGTCTTTGCACCTGTGCCTCTCTCTTTTTAAAACTAACTCCTTTTTCATTCTTAAGGTCTCACATCTTCTTCCCTCATCATCCTATCTAAACCAATTACCCTTGTTAATCTTTAATCACTCTACTTTTCTATTTCCATCCTGTTATAATGATCTGCTTGCTTATAATCTATTGCCTCCTTATAATGTAAGAGCCATGAGAGCACAAGCTCCTGTCTTTTCTGTTCATCATTAAATACTTCGTGTAGTATTTCATAATGATGCTCAATGAATACTTGTTAAATGAATGAATGGCCAAATATCTTAAGTGTTATTAGTACATCTGGAATGGGCGACTTTGAAAAATATATTCACTTCCCAATATAGGAGAAGAGTAAGGCCTTTATACTACTGACTGCAGTACTCTAAGTATGGATTTCTTAAAACTTAACCACTGTTTAAGAAATAAGAATTAAGACTCATTTGAGACATAGAACATGCAAATGGATCACATCAAAATCTAACTCTGTATATTAGATCACCTTTTTCAAAATTACTGGAGAAAGCAGGGATATAAGAGTCAGATAAAACCGGGTTCAGCTCTCAGCTCCACTATTGGGGTAATATTGGCCAACCACTTAACTACTTACTTTGAGACTATCTACCCCCTAGAAATAGAGAAAGCATTAAAAGGTAATAAAAGCTGGCACAAAACAGGAACTCAATAACGTCAATTCACTTCTCCTGCAGGAAAAAAAATCACATGGAAAGGGGGAAGAAGTAGGCAAGGGGACTTATGTAAAAGGACAAAAGTAGATGGGAACAAAGCTCAAGATTGTTTAGTCTTTTGTTTGTTCAAATATGCTTGATTTCAGGCTCCAAGTCTAACAGACATTTAAAAAATACCTTGTGTAAATGACAGTCCAGAAAACAATTTCACCACTTTTGCATTATTATTATTATTTTTTTTGAGACAGAGTCTCACTCTGTCACCAGGTTGGAGTGCAGTGGTGCGATCTTGGCTCACTGCAACCTCCGCCTCCAGGGTTCAAGTGATTCTCCTGCCTCACCCTCTCGAGTAACTGGGACTACCAGCGTGCACCACCACACCAATTTTTTTATTTTTAGTAGAGACGGGGTTTCACCATGTTGGCCAGGATGGTCTTGATCTCTTGACCTCCTGATCCGCCCGCCTCAGCCTCCCAAAGTGTTGGGATTACAGGCGTGAGCTACTGCTCCCGGCCCACTTTTGCATTATTAAATGCCAGGAAGATAACATCTTCCACCACCTTATTAGACTACAGATACCATATACTGTACATGTAGATATGTCTGATTATTTCTGCAGTTGTTAATAAAAACATATAACCTGGCTTATGAAACTACTGCATATATACCTTTTATTAAGACTAGACATATACACCAAAGATTGGTAAAAATACCTGTTTTCATGAGCTTTAAATTCGCAGAGGCACACTAGTGAATCACAGTCAAAAAACCTTATAACTTCTTCATCTCCAGCCACTGCAAGGACAGACTCCTAGGAGAGAGGAAAAAGAGTAATAACATCCAGAATGTCATCAACAGTTCCAACCATCACCACAAACTTTGGTCAATGATTTCTGATTACTTACTGAAAGAAATTTAACAGAGGAAATTCTCTTTTCATTTGTGATGGTGCCACTAATGGATGCAGTGTCAAGCTGATAGATGTCTATTTTATTCTGTATGATAACTACATACTGCTCTCCTCTTGGGGACCATTCTACTATGTGAGCATCTGTAAGTGGAAAAAAACGAAGTTTATTTATTTTGTAAATAAAACATAAAATGATCATAGTAATAAAAATAGCAAATATTTATACTGTGCATTTTCAAATTCATTATCCTATTTCATCTTCGTAACACATTTTACAAGTCAAGTTTTTTAGAAAATAATCTAGGTTCAAAAAGTCAAAGGTGGGCCAGGTGCAGTGGCTCACACCTGTAATGCCAGCACTTTGGGAGGCCAAGGTGGGTGGATCACTTAAGGCCAGGAGTTTGAGACCAGCCTGGCAAACATGGTGAAACCCCATCTCTCTACCAAAAAATACAAAAAATTAGCCAAGCATGGTGGCACGCGCCTGTAATCCCAGCTGCTTGGGAGGGTGAGGCAGGAGAATAACGAACTCAGAAGGCAGAGGTTGTAGGGAGCTGAGATAGCGCCACTGCACTCCAGCCTGGGTGATAGAGCGAGACTCCATCTCAAAAAATAAAATAAAATAAAAAATATAAAATAAAATAAAATGAAACAAAATAAAAATCAAAGGCAGGTGGCAGAGCCACAAAAAGAATCTAGTCTAAAATGGGAAAAGAAAGTAACCCAAGGCATTTGCTCAGAGGTAACCACCACCATGCAGGGAAATAAATGTGTAACATACACACATGTAAAAATGTATATCTATATTCATATTCCATTAAGTCACTGTAAAATATACAGGTTGAGTATCCCTTATCCAAAATGCTTGGGACCAGAACGATTTTGGATTTTGGAATATCTGCATATATACAATGAAATATCTCGAGGATAAAACCCATGCAACTCATGTTTCAAGTCTAAACATGAAATTCATCTATGCTTCATATACACCTAGCCGGAAGGTAATTTTACACAATATTTTAAATAATTTTGTGTATGAAACAAGGTTCTGACTGTGACCCATCATGAGGTAAGGTGTTGAATTTTCTACTTGAGGCACCACATCAGTGCTCAAAAAGTTTCAGATTTTGGAGCATTTCAGATTTCCAGATTAGGAATGCTCAACCTGCATTTCAAACAAAAATACTCACTTTGTTTTATATTTTTTATGAATGCTGATCTTCCTTCTACAAGATTCCACGTTCTGCAAAACAGGAAGCTCACTTACGGTGTGATCACCAACTAACTTTTACTAAGCGTAAAAGAACAAGCATAATGAAGACTTAAGTGACATTTTACTAAATATTGGCTATTTAGAAGACCTGCTATCTTCCTTACAGCAATATTTTGAAATATTATGAGGCAGGATTAAGACTTGCTTCATTCCCATATCCCTTTAACATCTCGTATCCATTGTATTTTCAAAAGGTTTCCCTTTCTAAAATCTTCAATTCACAGCTATGATGACTGCAGCATAATTGCATGTTTGAAAACGGAGCTTGTTGGCTGGGCGTGGTGGCTCACGCCTGTAATCCCAGCACTTTCGGAGGCTGAGGCGGGCGGATCATGAGGTCAGGAGATCAAGACCATCCTGGCTAACACGGTGAAACCCCGTCTCTACTAAAAATACAAAAAATAGCCGGGCGTGGTGGTGGGCGCCTGTAGTTCCAGCTACTTGGGAGGCTGAGGCAGGAGAATGGCATGAACCTGGGAGGCGGAGCTTGCAGTGAGCCAAGATCACGCCGCCGCACTCCAGCCTGGGCGACAGAGCAGGGAGACAGAGCGAGACTCTGTCTCAAAAAAAAAAGAAAGAAAACAGAGCTTGTCATTTTCATTCTACCACTATGAACCACTATGAAAAGGTTCACCAGCTTTTGACCTTTCCCTTGTATAACAGTATTTTTAGATGGTGGAGAGCTGTAGTAAAACACACACCTTAGATAAATGCTCTTGAGCATTAATGACTTACCTTAAAGTTTTATCTGTACCAACCGACAGGGCCAACTTGCCAGATGGGTGAATAGAAAGGAAGGTCACCTGTCCTCTATAATGAAACCAAAAGTTAGTCCCCAACTTGACTGGCACATCGAGAATGCCAAAGGGAAAGAGCCCGACTCACTTGTGAGCTTTAATTGACTTCAGGCATTCCCATTTCTTTGCATCCCAGATACAGATGAGTCCATCTTCCGCTCCACTGATTAAATGCCTGTTGCCATAGAATTTCAGGCAAGTTATTGTACCTATGGAAAAACCAAAATAGGCAAAAATAATATTCATTTTAAATGCAAACTCCATTTCTGATTTGAAGGCTATGCTATGCTAAGTAAAACACTCAATACCTTTTTTTCTTTTTCTTTTTTTTTTTTTTGAGGCAGGGTTTCACTCTTGTTACCCAGGCTGAAGTGCTATGGCATGATCTTATCCCACTGCAACCTCTGCCTCCTGGGTTCAAGCAATCTTCCCACCTCAGCCTCCTGAGTAACTGGGACTACAGGTGCACATCAATATACCTAGCTAATTTTTGTATTTTTTGTAGATACAGTGTTTCACCATGCCATGTTGCCCAGGCTGGTCTTGAACTCCTGGGCCCAAGTGATCTGCCCACCTCAGCCTCCCAAAGTGCTGGGATTACAGGTGTGAGCCACTGTGCCTGGCCTCAATGTCTTAATATTACTAAAACATACCTTAAATTTTTTCATGTAAGTACAGTTGTTCAAATCTATGCAAATATTTTCAGCAGAGTATCTCCAGTTTAGATACAGATTTGAACAAATCAGTTCACGTCCTTGCTTTATGTCTTCAAATTATAAATTTAGGAGGTGGCTGGCTAGGATAGTTTGAGCAGAAGTAAACAAAACTAATCAGCTAACAAGCTAATCTGGGGAACAAACCAGGTGTACTGCCACATGACTTCCACTTTCTAAACAGTGAATTAGCTACCCAATCAGCCACAATCCAATCCTTATCACTCAGATCTGTTTTGATCCATTTCCACACACTTCTCATTCATTTGTTCATATTTTCCTCTCCCTATTATCCTATTTCTCACTTTGGAAAGTTTGGTTTCCCACATTTGCTTCCCTAGAAAAAAGCTTATCTATTAGCAACTCTTAGAAAAATAGGATTTATGCACCCATAAAAAGGAATGAGATCATGTCCTTTGCAGGGATGTGGATGGAGTTGGAAGCCATTATCCCCAGCAAACTAATGCAGGAAGAGAAAATTAAACACTGGCTAGGCGAGGTGGCTCATGCCTGTAATCCCAGCACTTTGGGAGACCGAGACAGGCAGATCACTTGAGGTCAGGAGTTCAATACCAGCCTGGCCAACATGGCGAAACCCCGTCTCTACTGAAAATACAAAAATTAGCTGGATGTGGTGGTGTGTGCCTGTAGTCCCAGCTACTCAGGAGGCTGAGGCACAAGAATCGCTTGAACCCGGGAGATGGAGGTTGCAGTGAGCCGAGCTCTGCCACTGCACTCCAGCCTGGGTGACAGAGAAAGACTGCATCTCAAAAAAGAAGGAAAGAAAGAAATAGAAAAGAAAAGAAAAAGAAAACCAAACACCACATGTTCTCACACAGGGGAAAAACAACACACACTGGGGCCTGTGGGAGGGGAAGGGTTGCGGGAAGGAGAGCATTAGAAAGAACAGCTAATGGATGCTGGGCTTAATACCTAGGTGATGGGATGATCTGTAAAGCAAACCACCATGGGACGTTTACCTACGTAACAAACCTGCACATCCTGCATGTGTACCCCTGAACTTAAAAGTTGAAGGAAAAAAAGAAAAAAGAAAAAAAGGATTTATACAAGAAATAAAGGAAACCAAGAAACCAAGAGCCCTACTTCATTCACCCCCCAATCTAAACTCCTTCTATGTAATTCCTTTTCTTATTGTTGAACACTTGTACTAATGGGTTTGGGCAGATCAAATTTAACTTATTTCTTCCAAACCTGAGAGAGAAGCCTTCTTTGTAACAAACTAGGACTAGGAGATAGAGAAAAAAAGAATGTATATTTGAATCACTCAAAGCTCAGCTTCTGATGAAGAGCAAGACAGCTGTTAAAGCAGCAATGGACAGTCTGCCATGTGTGAAAGTGTCCCCCAAAATTCATTTGCTGAAACTTAGTTGCCAATGTGATAGTTTAAGAGGTGAGACCTTTAGGAGGTGATGGTGACTAAGTCATAAGGGCAAACCCTCATGAACGGGATTAGAGGACTGGCGACATTATAAAAGTTGTTTTTTTTGGCAGGGCGCGGTGGCTCACGCCTGTAATCCCAGCACTTTGGGAGGCTGAGGCGGGCGGATCACTTGAGGTCAAGAGTTCAAGACCAGCTTGGCCAACATGGTTAGACCCGTCTCTACTAAAAATACAAAAATTAGCTGGGCGTGGTGGCAGGCACCTATAATCCAAGCTACCTGGGAGGCTGAGGCAGGAGAATCGCTTAAACCCAGGAGGCAGAAGCTGCAGTGAGCCGAGATCGCGCCACTGCACTCCAGCCTGGGTGACAGAGCGAGAAGCCCCCCCGCCCCCGCCAAAAAAAAAGTTGTTTTTTTCGTTTGTTTGTTTGCTTTTTTTAAACTGGCTCCAACTCTCAAGCTTGACCTTACAGAATTGTGCAGGGATCTGCTTTGCCCTTCTACCATGAGGACACAGCAACAGAGAGCCAGTCCTTACGAGACAAGAAAATCTGCTGGTGCCTTAATCTTAGACTTCCCAGCCTCTACAACTGTGAGAAATAAATCTCTATTATTGATAAATTATTCAGTCTAAGGTATTTTGTTATAGCAGTCTGAATAAACTAAGGGAACACCTAATAGAAGGAAGCCATTTATCGCTGCAAATTTACTGCTGGAAACCAATGCCTGGTGTGGATCCTCTGAAATACATGTAAGATTGGGTAGGAAAAAGGGCACCATTTTATCTGCCTTTCTTTGCAGAAAACCAACTTTCTTGGCTGAGTTACTCCTCATTCTCTGTCCCCTGGGAAAATGCAACAAAAACAGCATAAAATGTTTGGTACTGAAGAAAAAAATTTACCTGTTCAGTCTTTCTCTCCCTTGATTCTGCCACTATCCTGGGTACCTTGACCACCAGTGTGGAAAACCAAACCACAAGCCGGGAACTGTAGTACTACTTCTTGACTTCAACTCCAGTGACCTTTGCCTCCCCTGCATTTCAGTCCCCTACACCCACAGCCTGGGCATCGTTACCACATAGAGCTGTTCCACGTTAGAACTCTTGACCTCTAGGAAGCTATTTGCTGACCACAAGCTCACATCTTCCCATCCCTTTCATGCCTCTCTGCACTCACACTCCACCTGCTTTTGTATTTCAGAGATCTCCAGGCCCTTGACAACACATTTTCTTTTCTTTTCCTCTTTTTTTTTTTTTTTTTTTTTTGAGACAGAGTCTCGCTCTGTCGCCTAGGCTAGAGTGCAGTGGCACAGTCTCAGCTCACTGCACACTCTGCCTCCCCAGGTTCAAGCGATTCTCCTGCCTCAGCCTCCTAAGTAGCTGGGACTACAGGTACGTGCCACCATGCCCAGCTAAGGTTATGTATTTTTCGTAGAGACGGGGTTTCTCCTTGTTAGCCAGGATGGTCTCAATCTCCTGACCTCACGCTCGGCCCACCTCGGCCTCCCAAAGTGCTGGGATTACAGGCGCGAGCCACCGCGCCTGGCCTTTGACAACACATTTTCTCTATGTTGACAACCTAATCCACTCCTTCACCAAAATTCTTAATTCTCTTGTAACTCAATCCTTCTACCGCACACACCAAGTAACCTTCCTCTCTCTAGGGAAATGTCTGTGGCTTATTACTGAATAAACTCAGAAAATCTTGCAAACTGATGTTACTCAATCCGTAGCTGCCAATTCCAATGGGGCAGGCCTTCATCAGTCCTTCTGTTGGGGTTCTCAGTCAGCACCCCTCCGATACAAACTGGCAGTACTTTCCTCAAGCCCACATCATTCATTTGCTAGCTTGCTCCCTCCCTCCCTCCCAATTCAGTCTCTAACTGGCTCTCTCAAGGACTCCAGGATCTGGTCCCATCTACTTCTCTAGCCCCTCAAACTCCCAATTTAACCTTCTCATAATCCGGAACTGCTTACGGTTCCCTATGAACACCAGTGGTCAAAAGCATGGGCTCTAGGCCCAGGTTCAAGTTCTAGTTCCAGTGTTTGAGACCTTCGGCAAGTCAAGTAACATCTTTGAAACTAGGTGTTCTCTTCTACTTTCTTGGCACACAGAGGGGTACATAATATGCCCTCAATAAAGTCAGATATTGCTATGACGCTACATCTTTGAAACTAGGTGTTCTCTTCTACTTTCTTGGCACACAGAGGGGTACATAATATGCCCTCAATAAAGTCAGATATTGCTGTGACGCTACATCTTTGAAACTAGGTGTTCTCTTCTACTTTCTTGGCACACAGAGGGGTACATAATATGCCCTCAATAAAGTCAGATATTGCTATGATGCTACTACTTGTGCTCCTCACACTGCCGGCTCTGCCTGGAATGTCCTTTCTCCCTCCTTGCAAACTTTACCTGCCCAATAACTGACATTTCTCTTTTAAGATAATTCAGATGTCATTTTAAGGAAGGTTTCAGTGAAAACCTCACTCTGACTGGGTTAAATGCCTCCTTTCTGTCTCCCAATACAGACCGTAAGCCAACCCAGAGCAAGAAACCTTTTTTTTTTTTTTTTGAGACAGAGTCTCACTCTGTTGCCCAGGCTGGCATGCAGTGGCGTGATCTCAGCTTACTGCAATCTCTGCCTCACGGGTTCAAACGATTCCCCTGCCTCCGCCTCCCGAGTAGCTGTGACTACAGGTGTGTGCCACCACACCTGGCTAATTTTTTTTGTATTTTAGTAGAGACAGGTCTGGTCTCCAGCTACTGACCTCAGGTGATCCACCCACCTCAGCCTCCCAAAGTGCTGGGATTACAGGTGTGAGCCATTGTGCCAGGCTAAGAAACCATTTTTTTTTAAAATTCCTCTATCTTCTAGCAAAGAATCTGCTATAAAATAGATACAACAAATTGTTCAACTGAAGTCAAATTGTAAAGAAAACCTCTATGTTCTCATCTTAAGGGATACAATTTTCTTACCACTGTGATGCACTAGAGCCCCATGCTCAATCTTCTTTTTCATGTCATAAATGTGAATTGTTTCATCTTTGCTCCCAGTGACCACAAAACGACTATTTACAGCTACTGCTGACAAGGAGGCAGTGTGAGCATGGTGAGTGAAGTCAGCCACAAGAGTCCATTGCTGCTGAAGATGAAAACATACAATTAATGCCAGTCACACCACAGTTCTACCAACTCTATCCACTGGTAGTTTTCATGAATCACGGAACCATTTATCTGTTTCTGAAAAGATAAATCATTCCACGATTCATGAAAACTATCAATGGATCCTATAAATGGAAAAATGATATGTTAAACTACAAAATGACATGTAGTTTACCACAAAGGACTTGAGACTTGATGAGGAAGGTAAAGCAAGGAGGTGGGCAGGCAACACTGGGTATCATCACTCTAGAACACAGTAATGGAGACTGGACTAAGGAAGACTTTTAGATCCTACACAAATCTTTAACTCTTTAGTGTATTTACTTTATATGTGAGACTTAATTTATTTTTTCAGATATTCACATTTTTATTTGAATTTATTCTTTCAAATAATGAGTGCCTACTATGTGTCTGGCACTATTCCAAGCAGTTGATACACAGCAATGAACTGCGATTCTCCCACCTAAGCCTCCTGAGTAGCTGGGATTACAAGCACTTGCCATCATGCCCAGCTAATTTTGGTAGAGACAGGGTTTCACCACATTGGCCAGGCTGGTCTTGAACCCCTGACCTCAGGTGATCCACCTGCCTCGCCCTCCCAAAGTGCTGGGATTGCAGGCATGAGCCACCGCGCCCAGTGGACAAGTCTTATAAAGAAAAACCAACAGAGTAAAGGTATGTTTCCATGAGTACCAACGTAAGCTCTAGAGAATCACCAATAACGAAATCTCAGGAACTCTGTGCTTATTGCCATGTGACAATAGCATTAGGAAGTCTGATTGGATGAGTGCGAAGCATGACAGCAAAATACACAGACACACACACACACTCACTCACTCCTTAAACTGAAGGAACTGCATCAAAAAGTATTTGCAAAACAAACCGAAAAAGAAAAAAACCCATCAAACTTCTTTGAACATGTGTTACTGCAAATCAGGTCCTTAGTTACAGAAGATACTCCTTCCATCATTTAAGACCAAGGGGGCCTCCTTTGAATCAAGCATTTTTGCGGGTCTGCTATGGCCTTAAATCAAATAATAACCTTTTAAAATTCACATAATGTAGGTTATCTAGGCTATTGCTTAGATTTAGTAGAAGTATAGGGTAATGGTTAAGAGTTTCAAATGTCAGAGACCCTCGGGGGCTCCTGACATTTTGGGGTCAGCTGTGTCAATTATTATCTGTGTGTCCTTCAGCAGTCACTTAACCTATCTAGGACCAACATTTTGGTACTTCATCTGCAAAACGAGAATAACTGCATCCTCCTCAGAGGGTTGCTGTGAGGACTACTGTGTGTCTGGAACACAGTTAAGTAATTTCACTACAAAAAAAAAAAATTAAATAGCATCATCTTTGACTATTCAAAACACATCACTTTTCAGCCAAAGACAAAGAGCAAATAACTGGAGTAGGAAACAAAATAAACGAAAGCAATAGGCCAAGTGATATACTTCCAAATTTTCTGGATAATTAAAGACCGACGCCTTGACTTCATAAAGAAGTACTGTACTCAATTTTCTAGAAAATGCTTAGAATTGCTTCAAGAATAAAAGTGAGCTAGATGTTAGGAGGTCGGATTCCTAGTCGTGAGTATAGTCCTATCTACCTATTTGACTACTGATAATTTATTTGACCTTTTTATCTATTCACACATCTAGTAATATCATATTCTGCTGTAATTTCTCTCCATCTATGCGTCTCCTCAGTCCTCCACCCCTTATGTAGGCAACGTCTCTAAGGCAAGATCCATACCTCCAGCATCTTTGCATCTCCACCGCCCAGCTCGCCATAAGTTCCCAACAAATAATGAATTGGTATCGCTTTACCTATAAGGGATTTATCCTAATCTAGTTCTAGTAATTTGTAAAATTCCAGGGCAGAAATTCAGCAAAAGAGCGAGATCTTCTTTCATTAAATTCTGAATACTGTCAACTTATGGGATCGATCCTTAAATCCACAATCTACGACTCATTTGTCCGTATGCAGAAATGCCGGTTTCCTTTGTGTCCCGTGGACCTTTTGTCTACTAGAAAAGGCAGATATTGCCTCATTTTGATAAAATGTCCATTCTACGGTTTAAAAGGTTAGCTTTTCTCTTAAGTCTCTTAGGTTTGATTCATCAAATCATCCAGTGAACAGCAGGCGCTCCAATGTTCACCTCTGCTGTGTAGGAACCAAACCCGACCTTCCCGGCCCCGCCTCCGACTGTCTCTAACTACGCGGTATCTCACCTCGTGGTCGCCGCAAGCCTCGGGCTCCGGGTGTACAGCGAACCCAAAGAGGACCTGCTCGTAGCAACCAGCGACCAGCTCCATTCAGCAGCGCACGTGCCTCTTCCGCCAGCCCGGCTCAGCCTGGAGGTGACAGAACCGGAAACCAAAAAAAAAAAAAAAAAAACACCTGACTCCTTTCTGCATCGGCGCTCGAATTATACGTCAGGCTCCAGGGCTGCCTTTAAGTCGCCTGTAACGTGGAAACACTTTAAGCGCGGGGAGGTCACATGGATTTTCCAAGAAGAGAATAAGTAAAGATGCCACATGAGGAGGTTCTCACTGCAAGGAGAAAAAAATCGGGGGCAAGCAGGCATATCTCAGGAAGGTGCCAGCTACGCCCGTCTGAAGGGAGCGGGCGGGACATCCTCTGCGAAGCCCTTCATTTCCGTGACATCAGGAGGAGGTGGGGCCGACTTCCGGCCGGTTGCTTAGGGGCTGTAGCGCCGGCAGCGTGCATTGTTGTGGGCTGTGTACTAGTAGGGTAGGAGTTTTTGTTCAGGGACCAGCGGAACGAGGCTTTCTGTCGTTAATAGGGTAAGGAGGGGTGGGATTAGGGTTCGCGGTGACTTGTTCCAGCGGCGCAGCGCTCGCGCTGCCTTGACGGACTCGGAGTGCTAGATGTGTCCGCGTTCCCGTCTGCCCGGGCCAGAACCCCAGCCCTGCACACTTTCTCTGTCTGCTTGTCTAACTCTGGGGCTGTATTGGCCAAGGTTGCGGCACCTCCTGGGGAGGGAGCAGTGAGCCTTCATTTTTTTTTTTTTTTTTTTGAGACGGAGTTTCGCTCTTTTTGCCCAGGCTGGAGTCCGGTGGCGCGATTTCGGCTCACCGCAACCTCTGCCTCCCGGGTTCAAGCAATTCTCCTGCCTCAGCCTCCCGAGTAGCTGGGATTACAGGCATACGCCACCACGCCTGGCTAATTTTGTATTTTTTAGTAGAGACAGGGTTTCTCCATGTTGGCTAGGCTGGTTTTGAACTCCCGACCGCAGGTGATCCGCTTGCCTCGACCTCCCAAAGTTGCTGGGATTGCAGGCGTGAGCCACAGCGCCCGGCCAGAGCCTTCATTTGAGAGTTGGGAAAACAAAGTGAGCCTGAGCAACATATTTTGATGCCGTCTCTACAAAAATGTTATAAATTAGCCCAGCATGGCGACGCCCGCCTGTGGCCTCAGCAACTCGGAAGGCTGAGGTGGGAGGATTGCTTGAGCCCAGGAGGTCGAGGCTGCAGTGAGCCGAGATCGCTCCACTGCATTCCAGTCTGGGGGACGAGCCAGGCCCCCTTTCAAAGAAAAAAAAAGTTTTATTTAATAAGGTTTAGAGATTCAGGTATGTCTTAGACATTACAGCTTTCCTACAAGCTCCCAACAGAGTAAATCTTGGTTCGTATAGTTCTCATAAACACCGTAGTAGGTCATTTGGTAAACAAGATGCATAGTCCATCCTTCTCAAATCTTCAGCCTCCATTTCAAGTGCGATACAGTGCTTCAGCGCTTAGACCCTTTTGTTTCCAATAACTTTTCTTCTCTGGTGTTCTGAATTGTTAGTACGTGTTAATAGAGGCTAGTTTGGGTCTTGCAGAAATGATTTCATTTGGGATGCTTTGGTTGTCACTGCAGTGCAGAAAAGACCTTGTTATTGTTAGAAATAGATAATTGGTGACACGAAGAAAAGTCAGCATGGAGACAAAAGATCTCTCAGCAAGGCAATTTTTACTTTATGCAGAAAGGGTGCTCAATTGCAGATGGAACGATGGTGAGAGCACTCCTGAACAAAGGAAAAGCAGACATATTTGTCCCTTACGCCTTTGGGTTGTCCTTACTGCTGTGTCCTGCATCCGTTGGCTGGGGCTGGACCTCATAATCTTAAACTGATACCCGATTTGCTAAACAGGCTGTGAGCTGGAACGTGCCTGGGCCTGTGAGCATGTCCCGCAGTTACATACAATAGGGCTTAACAGAGTTATTAGCACAAAGCAAGGAGGCTTGAAGTAAGTTAGTCTTTAAAAGAAACTATTGTTTCTAACATTTATGATTTATTCTTTAACAAGAAGGGAAACTTTGAAGAGGCAACTTTTTACTTTCTACGTCATCTGCCAGCTTTGTCCACGCCAAATGTAAACACTTCTCAAGACACTGAAATGCTGTTGACAAACTAATTCTCAGTCTAGTGGAAATCCTTGTATTCATTCACTCTTCCAAAATCTTTCTTGGCTGGGCACGGTGGCTCACTCCTGTAATCCCAGCACTTTGCGAGGCCTAGGCAGGCGGATTGCTTGAGGTCAGGACTCTGTCTCAAAAAATAAAATAAAATGGCCAGACGCAGTGGCTCACGCATGCCTGTAATCCCAGCACTTTGACGAGATCAAGAGATCGAGACCATCCTGGCCAACATGGTGAAACCCCGTCTCTACTAAAAATACAAAAATTAGCTGGGTGTGGTGGTGGGCGCCTATAGTCCCAGCTACTCGGGAGGGTGAGGCGGGAGAATCGCTTGAATTAGGGAGGTGGAGATTGCAGTGAGCCGAGATCCCGCCACTGCACTCCAGCGTGGGCAAGAGTGAGACTGTCTCAAAAAAAAAGTCATTCTTTCTTTACTTTGTGCTAGTTATCTTCATTGTGTTACAAAAAATCAAATTATTTTAGGATTTAGAATAGATTACTTTTTTTGTAATGTGTAAGTTTCCACCAGAGAACCACTAAGATTAGAGGAGTGTGAAGTAAGTGTCCTCTGGACGTGAGACAAGGTATTAGTAAGCAGGACATTGTAAGTTTCACATTTTATCTTTAAAAATGTGCCTTTATGCATTTTACTCCACAACATATCTGTTTATTTTAATGCAAAAGTGTTACACCCTCATCCACAAATTAAAAACCGCTAAAACTTTCAAAATCATGCTTTGTATATTCTGTTACTTCTGGAATGTCCCTGGTGCCCTGTCTCCTTACCCCAGGGACATCTCAACTGCTGTTTGAGAAGTATTAATACTTGTTTAATACACTTTTTAAAATAAATTTTAGCTTATCACCATAAAAAGGTGATTATTTAGAATCTGTTACCAGACTGTCACACTTTTACTTGCTTAAGTAACTTTTGTTCCAACCAGGAATTTTAGAATATAGTTGGTTCTAGAATGGAAACCATGGTGTAAGCACCATGAACATAACTCAAAGTGGTTTTACTTTAAAAAGAAAAAAAAACCCCAAAACTTAGAAATCAGTGGAACCAATTACAGAGCTCAGAGGACTTAGACAACATCTAGTCCAGGTGTTACTAATCTGGGGGTTCCTGGATAAATTTCAGGGGTTTTGAATCCCATGAAATTATATGCAAATATGTGGATATACATTTTTGGAGGAGAGCATTAGGATTTTAAGGGAGGGAGACCACCCCTCATATTGTCTTATGCCCAATTTCTGCCTCCAAAGAAGAAGTAAAAACTAAAAGGCAGAAATGAAATCCACAAGCAGACAGCTCGGCACCACACTCTGGGCCTGGTAAAGATCGACCCCTGACCTAATCGGTTATGTTATCTGTAGATTAGAGACATTGTATAGAAAAGCACTGTGAAAATCCCTGTCCTGTTCTGTTCCGTTCTAATTACCGGTGCATGCAGCCCCCCAGTCATGTACCCCCGCTTGCTCAGTCAATCACGACCCTCTCACACGGACCTCCTTAGAGTTGTAAGCCCTTAAAAGGGACAGGAATTACTCACTTGGGGAGCTTGGTTGTTGGAGACGTGAGTCTTGCCGAAGATCCCGGCCGAATAAAGCCCTTCTTTCTTAAACTCGCTGGCTGAGGGGTTTTGTCTGCGGCTTGTCCTGCTACAATTTAAGTACTGTTTCAAAAAGATTAGTGTAAGCGTACCTCATTAAGGGTAAAATGCAGTGATTCAGTCTTAGGTTATAAATGCTGAGATATGTCTGGAGAAGTGACTTTTTCAAGAACACACAGCTAAATAACAGAGCCAGCAATGCTGCTCTTTTTTATGTGTCCTCGGCCTTGAACATTCTCTTTAACAGAGAGGAAAGCAGCAGCATTTCATTTTATGCATGGCTGTGGCAGTAGTTTCAGGTCTTAGATTGCGGATTTTCATTGTCTGAAGAAAGACAAAAGAGAATTATATACCTGTTTAACTGGATTGGAACTGAGCATAACTTCCTGTAAATCCTCCTATTCTCTTTCCAAATACAGGATGTAAAAAGCCATTTAATCTCATTCTTGTGAAATCTGCAGCTGCCAAGAAACAACCAATGTTGAGAGTTCATTAAACACTAAAGCACGAGAGGATATTGTTTTGTAGCTTTGCTTTTAAATTATTGATTGAAAAGGTTTTTGCTCTTGAGCTATGCTCTGATTTATTCATTCATTCAACAAATATTTGTTGAGTGCTTAGCTTCGGTTTGTTAAAGTAAAAGCTAGTTTTTCTTCTTGGGTGGTTGAGGGTGGTAAAGTGGATATCCTGGGGTACAAGCAGGACACAGTAGAGAAAAATCAGCCCTGTTAGAAATATGAGAGTCTCATATTCCTGCTGAATTCTCCTCTTTCTCAATGTGACAGGCAGCAACTCTGTTAAATTCAAGGACTATGGAGGTTGCACGTGAATGTATTCCTGGGGGTTTTGGTCTCCTTTGTATTTCCAGCACGAAGGGAAGTGGAGATAATGCTGTACGTGCCCTGAACCTGTCCAGTAGTGTGCCCCAATAGAAATTTGCTTCACCTGATTCATGGGAGTAATCTAGTTGAAACAGAAGGTTTGCATTTGGGGCTTTTAGTGAGCAAAACAGCGCTTGTGAGCCCTTGTCACTGTCATCTCCAAGGCCTAAGTGCCCATCTTTACCCTGGGATCTTGCTTACAACCTTCTGTTCCACAGCTGCTGCCATCTTCCTAGGTGGTTGCAACATGATTACATTGACCTCTCTCTTCCTCAGCCTCCTTAGCACCTCCTCAATGTTCAACTTCCACGTTGCTTTCCAACTGCAGCCTCAATGCTTACCTGGTTATAGCCATAATTGTGATTTTCTTTGTGTAAAATAAAGTCAGTCCTAAAGTGAGAGAAAAAAAATTTTACAGGAAAAGAATCTTTAACTGACATGTTTTATTGGCTGTCTAAACTACAGTAGTTAGGAATTGTGTTTTACCTGACATAACAATAGTGGTCTAAACAAGACATTAAGTAAACCAGCGGTAGGCCAGTCTAGTGCTAGTGGAAGGAGTCCTTAGTCATTGGTGACCTAGACTCATTCTGTCTTGGATCCCAGTATTCTTCTGCATGATGCCTTCCTGGATGTCACCTCATAGTCCAAGATAGCTGCAGAGTTATTCTGACACCAGCCGTCATATTTGTAATCCCAGCACCAGACCCTCCAGCTAAGCAAATACCCTTTTCCCACACAGCTTTCCCCTATCCCCTTCTACTAGTTCTGTTTACATCTTCTTAGCCAGACTGACCACCTGGCCACATCTTGCTGCAAGGGAGAAGCTAGGAAATGTAGTCTTTTAGCTTGGGCCTATTGCTAGCCCAAGTGAAATCAGAATTGTTATTAAGGAAGAAAATAAACCAATATTGGGTGGCACTTAACAATGTCTGCCACAGTTGCTAATCAATAAAATCTCCCTTGAAGACATGAGGAAATCCACTCTCTATAAACTCCAGTACATCACCAATGCCAGTTACCCTGCCTTGCGGATACCATCGGCCCTCAGCGTCTGTGGGTTCTGCATCCCTGGATGCAACCAGTCGTGGACTGAAAATACTTGGGAGGCCGGGCACGGTGGCTCACGCCTGTAATCCCAGAACTTTGGGAGGCTAAGGCGAGCGGATCTCCTGAGGTCAGAAGTTTTGAGACCAGCCTGGCCAACATGGTGAAAATCCGTCTCTACTAAAAATTAGCCAGGCGTGGTGGTGGGCACCTGTAATCCCAGCTACTGGGGAGGCTGAGGCAGGAGAATCACTTGCACCTGGGAGGCACAGGTTGCAGTGAGGAGAGATCATGCCACTGCCCTCCAGCCTGGGCAATGTGGTGAAACCCTGTCTCTACTAAAAATACAAACATTAGCCAGGCGTGGTGCCAGATGCCTGTAATCCCAGCTACTGGGGAGGTTGAGGCAGCAGAATCACTTGAACCTGGGAGGTGGAGGTTGCAGTGAGCCAAGATCATGCCACTGTACTCCAGCCTGGGTGACAGAGGGAGACTCCATCTCAAAAACAAAACAAAACAAAAAACCCCAAAACTCCAAAAAGTTTCAAAAAGTAAAACTTGAATTTGCCACATGCTGGATACTACTGGTGAACCCACATGAAGTAATACATAGCCATTGTATTAGGTATTATAAGTAATCCAGACAGAATTTAAGGTTTATGGGAGGGTGTGTGTAGGTTCTTTGCAAATACTACACCATTTTATACTTGGGCATCCAAGGATTTTGGTATCTGAGGGGGATCCTGTAAACAATCTCCCATGGATACTCAGGGATGAGTATAGTAATGGCTCAATAACTGGTGAATGATTGAATGATCCGAATGTTTTGAATTCATCATGTTTGCTATTTTTCGCATTACAGGTAAATAGTAAATACATTAAGAACTTAGTTATTAGCAAGCTGCAGGGAAATGGCCAAACCCTAAGTGCCCCATATGGACTTAAAAGTTATCCTGAATTTTGACACTGTGTAACCTTGCTACTTCAAGTGGCGGGAGCTGGCTAATAAAGGCAGAATCTGAGGCTCCACTCCAAATCTGTCAAGTTAGAGAACCTACATTTTAAACAAGTCCAGGTCATTTGAATGCACATCGAAGTTTGGGAAGTTTTATGCTTTTTTTAAAAAAAAAAACTGAACCAGAGAAATATTTCTTTAAAATTGTATCCTGTACTCTCATTAATGTAGAGCGTAAGAGAAGAGGAGAGAAGGGAAGGGGGCGAGGGAGCGCGTTCTTCTCTGCCTCTTAATTTTGCAGGTAGTTGGATGATGCTTTCAACCTGCGTGGAATTAAAAAAAGAAAAAGCCAGCAGGTGCTAGTTCCAATAGTTATTCTCAGCAGGTAACAGAGGAGAGAAATGTATTTGTCTTAAGGTTTTAGTTATTAGAGTTTCCTCTTTTACCTGTTATGGTAAGGGGTGGAGTGGAGACTATCCTTCATTGTCGACCAACATACCTACCCCTTCTGTCCCTCCCTGGGGTTCTGCTGGCTCCCGCTGCCTGACAGTTGGGAGAGAGGGGCTGGCAGGTGGAAGCCCGAGGAACAGATTGCAGAAGTTCCCCCAGGTGCCTCAGTACACCCCTCCCCCACCCACACCTTTGCCCCGTTGTCAGGAAAGTCAAGCAATTAATTGCCTAGCAGGAATTGCCACTAAATGTAATTATCTCAGATGTAGTTGCGAGACTTATTTGTCAGGATTGAGAGGTTTCAGCCCACAAGCTGGATTTTTGACGCAGGAATAAAAACTGGATTCTGCTCTCTTTTTGTAAAGTTTCTGGGTAAATGGCCCAACCAGAGAGTTCTGCAGATTTTGGCATAGCTCAACAAAATAACTATTACTGCTACTGGCAAAGGTGAGTGGTTTTCTCCTACTTTGAAAAGGAAAGCTGTTACTGTTCTATTTGCTACATAACTGTTGGTAACTTACAAACTATGGCTTTTTTTTTTTTAAAGTTCTGGGGTACATGTGCAGAACGTGCAGGTTTTTTACATAGGTATACACGTGCCATGGTGGTTTGCTGCACCCATCAACCCGTCATCTACATTAGGTATCAAACTATGGCTTTGAACATAGGTGTTCAGCTTACTGCAAACTTCCTGGAAAGAAGAAAGGGTTTGGGGGTTTGTGGATGATTCTGCGTTGGTTGTGATGATTGTCATTCCTGTAGTCTCCCCTCTGCTATTAGAGTGAAGCAGGAGTTCCAGCCCAGCCAGAGTTACCGCTATGGCAACTGGTATGCGCGACAGCACGGCTCTTACCTTCTTTCTGGCTACAGCTATGGCTGTGCAGTGGATGGAAATGGAAAGGACTGTTTTTCTGCGCATGAGACCCCTGAACACACAGCTGGAACTCTGGTTATGCCTAAGGTATCCCTTGCTAGAATGAATCTTGTGTCATTCGTGTGCCCAATAATAGTAAACATCACTTTCCTATCTTCACACATCTGTGTCCTGTCATCCAAATTCCCACAGACATGGCTTTTGCTACCTGTTTTAATACTAGAGAGTAAAGCTGATAGCCTAAGAAAAATGTTTGTATAGCTTTATTGAGGTATAATACACAAAAAGTCCCTGCACATGTTTAATTTATATGATTTGCTGAGTTTGGACGTGTATAAACTAGAAGTGTTCACTTGCAGATAATTTCCCATTCTCTTCTAGAAACAACACAAAAAGCTAATGAAGTCTTTTTCTAAATTCTTGCTGCTAAATTTTAGATTATCATAATTCGATAAATTTTACTCTTTAACACTATATAGGACAAAAGGTAGTTTTGGGGTTTGTTTTATAGCAGTTGGACATAAACACACTTTAAAAATATATTTTAATACTTTGAATTACTAAAGTGACATATTTCTCAAATCACACAAAGATGTATTGAAGTAAGGGAAAAGTTCCCCCCCACACACACCCCTCCTCCTTCCCCATTCCCTTCCCACTTAGAAGAAAGTACTGTGGAGTGGATCTATGTCTTCTAGATCTTTCTCCTGTACTCTTGCTAAATCAATGTGGTTCATCTTTCTGTTTTGGTGGTTAGGGGATGATTTGGGCAAGAACGAACTATGTAGTACATACTGGTTTGCTGTTTGCTTGCTTCTGCATAAGGAGACCTTTCTTTAAAAAATCGTCCACTTATGGTCTGGGCAAGATGGCTCACACATGTAGTCCCAGCTACTTGGGAGACTGAGGCGGGACGATCACTTGAGTCCGGGAGTTTGAGGCTGCAATGAGCCATGATTGTGCCATTGTACTCCAGCCTGAGCAACAGAGCGAGCGCAGTTAGATACATTGCGATTTTTAGCTCATCCCTTATCTGACATTTTAAATATTTTCAGGGCTTTAACAAACTTACCTATCTTCAAGCATTTGTCTGAGTGTTGCTTTTTTCCCCAAGAATATAATTCTGGATGTGGAAGGGCTGGATTAAAGGATATAACATTAAAAAATTTTAATAGCAAGTTACCTAAAGTCTGCATGAATTTACACTTTTCATTATTGTGGTGGGTGTTCTTGCTACTCTACATTTGTCTGTGTATGATTAGCCAATCTAATAGGGCAGGGAGGCATTTATCTATTATTGAGGGCAAATACCTCTTGAAATGTTTATTGCTATCTGTGTTCTGTGACTTTGATATCCTCTTTCTAATTTTTCTGTTGAGTTGTGTCCCTCTTGCTTGACTGCATAAGATATTCACATGTTAGAGAAATTAACACTTTGGAGTCTAAATGTTACGGACTTCCCCCACCCCAGCTTGTCTCCTAATATGCAGAGTGACACCATTTGTGTGATGATCTTTACCTTAAAATGAAAATTGAATTTTATATCTAGTCCCTTGGCTTTTAAAACTTACATTTGCTTTATATTATGATATTTCACTGCCCAAACTTTCATTTTCAATTTTTCTCAAGTCTGTTTTAGGTGTGCCTCTTATATAAAATATCTTGTTAGATTTCTTGTCATTTTTTCCCCCTTTTAGCCCAATTTGGGTTTTTCCCTTTTAACAGATGTTTGATATTGCAGCACTTAAAAAAAAAATCTTTCACTACATTGCCTGTGGTTTTGGCACTCTTTTTTTTTTTTTTTTCTTTTGCCCCTTCTCTTTTTGCTCTTTTTTGGGAGACGGTCTGTCTTTTGGTGGTTACCCTTATATCTCTAAATAGAGAAGTATAGGAATTAGTATATTATCAACTTCAGAAACAAAAGTATTTCTTGATTTTTTCGTCACTCTTGAGAAAATTAAGAAATGAACATCCTTTTTTTCTCACCTGGCTACCCCTTCTCTCAATTCCTCTGTCCATTTTTGTTGGCACAGTCTGGGATTTTTATCTCACCCTCAGGCCGAATTATTACTATAACATGCATTTTTCATACAAGAATTATATAAATATGTTATCTTTTGTGGCTGTAGTGACCCCCTGTGCCATCTGCCTGCCATCCTGCTGGGTGTCCCCTGTTGGGAAGCTGCTGAGTGAAATTAAAGATGGTAAGCCTCTGTGGTGGCGCTCTTTTACTCCCACATCCCCATTTTGGTCTTCTCCAATAACGTGTGTCCTTGCCAAGATGTCCTAGTCATTCCCTGCTTCCCCCAATGTGCTGTGCCTCTGTCCATAACCTTTATCTCCCCAAGTTAAAGGGGTTACCCCCTCTCCAGCCCTCTCCTTTACATTTTCACGTTGTGGAGGTGGATGTCTCCAAAATGATTCTCGGGTCTTTGTGGTCCATCAGCACACCTTCCCAGACTATCTCTAGCTGAGGAAAGCCTTTTATAAATGTGCTTTTCTTTAAAGGCAGCCAGCTGCATACACAGCACAGGTGGCCCTCAGACCAGAGAGAATGCTCTGTCTCCAGATACTTCCTGCTTCCCTCATCCTGGTTATTTAGCATCCACATTTACCAGAACACACACTGAAAGGAGGAAATGTGTGGTTACTCAAGTCTTGTATTATGGGAAAGGAACTTATGGAAGTGTGGATTCTGGGTGTCTTTGCCATTTCTTTCTTTTCTTTTTATATAATTAGCTTTTAGAGATGATGTCTTGCTCTTTTGCCCAGGCTGGAGTGCAGTGGTGCCATCATAACTCACTGCAGTCTTGATCTCCTGGGTTCAAGTGGTCCTCCTGCTCCAGCCTTCCAAGTAGCTGAGACTACCGGCTGCATGCCACCATGCCTGCGGTCTTAGCCGTATCTAAATAGAAAAAAGACAGATTGTCTTTTGAAATTTATGGTAACTATATAACCTATTTTCCAAACCTCAGTATATTTCAGAGTGAAGGGGAGGCATACTTTCAGATAGACTGAAAAGAAAAGATAGTAGATCTTTGGCTCTCAGTATCTTCTCATTCTTATTAGCAAGGGAAGCTTAATTAAGTGCCAGGAGCTACATCAGCCCTTTCTTGATAGTGATTCCTTGGAATAGCTGGCCATACTTAAAAAGACAGGTTCCCAACAGGTCTACATAGAAGAATCATAAAAACGTATGCTGCCCCAGTAGAGCCAACAGGGTCTGGGTTAACCAACCAAGATTTACTTTGG
Source organism: Homo sapiens (assembly GCF_000001405.40). NCBI lineage: Eukaryota > Metazoa > Chordata > Mammalia > Primates > Hominidae > Homo > Homo sapiens. The sequence continues at coordinate 10,683,800 of NC_000006.12, read as the reverse complement.
GAGTACCTCTGCAGTTTACTTCTCTCATTATGTAAGGATATGATTGGTTTGCTTTGCTGTAGCCTCTGCATTTTCTTGAGCACCTAATATCCTGGTTCTTAGCTGAGTCACGGGTTTGAGGATGTGATTAGAAGGCCATGAGAAAAACGTGCTCATGGAGACTTAACAGATTGTCTTCTGGAAGGAGGAGCAGAACTCTAGGTAGAGTCAGGCATGTAGTACAAGAAATAAGGAGCCTGGATACCAGGGTCGCTGGTGTCTGGTTTCCTAGCTCAGGCTCTAGGATGCTAGTTAGGTCCCAGAAAATCCAGGGGCCAGGGGCCCTCGTTAGGCTTGTTCCTCTTTGTGACAGTTCTTCTGTGATTCAGTTTACTTCTTTCATAATTGTACTATGCCACCTAAAGATTCTTTTCATCAAATTCAAAAGTTGATTTAAAGAGATTAATTGTCAATATTATTTTTATTTTAGGTAGTTTTTTTGAGAGCTAGAGTTTTTCCCAATAAAGTATGTATTGATATTAAACCTTTAAGTAAAATTATTTTCTCATGAGATAATATTTTGTTGCAGGAAACCACACCTCTAGCTGAAAACCAAGATGAAGACCCACTAGAAGGTAACATAAACCTTGTGCTGAAGTGGTTGGAAACAAAACCCCATTTCCTGGTTTCTCATTCACTCAGCTTGCTAGAAACTGGAAGGTTCTATTGGAAAATTCCAATGTAGGTTGCCTAAGCCATATGCTTCAGTAATTTCTCCTGTTTTTAGAAACTGGTTCTATGGGAACAACTTTAACTAAGCCACCTCTTTGGGCCTTTCTGAAGGACTGAGAAAGGGGGACATTCCCAAACAGTAAGAAGACAATACATTGTTCTTAAGCTCCATTTCCTCTGTAAGTTTAGACTTTGAGGAGAATTATGCTTTAATTCTCTTTTTCAAGGGGGAAGAGCATGAGGTGATTGCTGTGGCCTCAGGGTTATTGGATCCTGGGGTACCTGACAGAGCAGCACTGTAGTGTCAGTCTGGTGGTGCTTCCTGTACTTCTCAATTTGTTTTGGAAAGAACAAAGTTTGCCTGCCTAGAGACAAACACTCTGAATGTGTCTTATTTGAGGAAGGGGAAAAAATGTTTTGCTTCTTTTAAGTAATGGGAAAGAAAAATAGAGGAGAAATGCAGAGAACACTATTGCCTTTTTCTTATCACATGTCTGTCTTATCACATGTTTGTCTAATCTCTCTCTTGCCCAAACCCCTGCCCCTACCAGACAAACCCACCCACTGCCTTTATGACTTTATCAAAGAAGGGAGCATGTTGTTATCAGTCTTTGTAGGCCCTGTTACTAATTCAGAGAGTTCACATGTCAGTAGGTGCTCAGTGTTTAAATTAAATCAAATTGGTGTTGAAAAGAAATGTTTATATGCTGTTGAGCAGTTGTAGTTTTTAGTACTTTGATTTAAACATGAGTAAAGGGTGCTTATTTCAACTTTGTGGGATTTCTTTCAGATTAAGTGTGAGTCTTTCTTCCTGCCTTTTATCAGTTATGCAATTTATTAAAATTGATGCAGGATTTCTTGCTCCTTAGTTCAGCTAAATCTGGGTCCTTGTCTCACAACCAGGAAAAATTAGGCATGTGGATACATTGAAGGGTGAGGAGGATGGAATTTATTAAGTGAAAGGAAAGCTCTTAACAAAAAGAGGGATCCCAAACACAGGTTTCCACCTCACAAATTGAATACCAGGCCATCACATACGAGTTGAAAAGGCCAGGCTCCTCCCCTGCATAAGGTGTGAATTCCTGGTGACTCCTCCTCATTCTTCCAATGTGCACGTGGGCCCTTAGTCTGAGCCACTCCACATTGATTTATTTCCCTTATTGCACATGTGTTAAAAGATGGAATTTTTCACCGTGGGCATGTTTAGCCAAGCCCCCTGTGCACAATGACTTGGGCAGGTTGGAGGTTCTCCAGGGACCTTACCCTATTTGCCTAGGCATTTGGCTGTCCCATGCCTCTATCAAAATAATAGAGGTAAAAGTCTGCTTTTTGGATACAGATTGCCACGGGGTTCAGATTCTACCTACTAGCTCTGTAATTCCAGACAAATTAATCTCTAGTGTGTCTGCTTCAGTTTCTGTAAAGTGGGGACATTGATACCTTTCTTATAGGAAGTGTGGGTATGCTAGGTCTACAGTACTTTTAGGTGGTTAAACAGCTGCTGCCATATCATAAACACTCAAGTATTGGCTGGTCATCAATCTGGCACAGTACTGGTCAGTAGAAATGTAATGCAGTTGCACCTCAAGGAGCTAGAAGAACAAGAACAAAGTAAACCCAAAATTAGTAGAAGAAAAGAAATAATAAAGACTATAGCAAAAATAGATAGAAACTAGAAAAACAATACAAAAGATCAACAAAATGAAGGGTTGGTTTCTTTAAAAGATAGTCAACAAACCTTTAAGAACAAAAGAAACTCAAAATCAGATGAAAAAGGAGACATTACAACTGATATCACAGAAATACAAAGGAACATAAAAGACAATTATGAACAATTATACATCAGTAAATTGGATAACATAGAAGAAATGAGTAAATTCCTGGACACATACAATCTACCACCTACCAAGATTAAATTATGAAGAAATAGAAAACCTGAACAGACCAATAATAAGGAATTGAAACAGTAATAAAAAGTTTCCCATCAGGCCAGGCCTGGTGGATAATGCCTATAATCCCAAGCACTTCGGGAGGCTAATAGGGGAGGATCATTTGAGCCCAGGGGCTTGAGACCAGACTTGGCAATACAGTGAGACCTTGTCTCTACAAAAAATTTAAAAAAATAACTGGGTATGGTAGCATGTACCTATAGTCCCAAATATTTGAGAGGCTGAGATAGGAGGATTGCTTGTGCCCAAAAGACTGAGGCTTAAGTGAGCTATGAATGTGCCACTGCATGTCAGCCTGGGTGACAGAGTGAGACCCTGTCTCAAAAAAAAGTCTCCCATCAAAGAAAAGCCCAGGTCCTGATGGCCTGTTTAATTCTACCAAACATTTATTTTTCATTTTATTTTATTTTTTGTAGAGGTGGAGTCTCACTTTGTTGCTCAGGTTGGTCTCAAACTCTTAGGCTCAAGCGATCCTCCCAGCTCTGCCTCCCCAAGGGCTGGAATTACAGGCCTGAGTCACCATGCCCAGCCCCCAGATATTTAAAGAAGAACTAATGCCATGTCTTAAACACTCCAAAAAATCGAAGACGAAATACTTTGAAACTTATTTTATGAAGCCAGCATTACTCTGATATCACAACCAGAAAAGGACACAACAAGAAAAAACTACAACCAATATTCCTGATGAACATAGATGCAAAGGTCCCCAACAAAATACTAGCAAACTGAATTCAACAGCACAATGACAAAATCATCTGTCATGAACAAGTGGTATTCATCCCAGGGACGCAAGGATAGTTTAATATACACAAATTAATAAACATGATACATCCCATTATCCCATCAACAGAATGAAGGACAAAAAACATTATTTTTCTTTTTTTTTTCCTGGAGATAGGGTCTCACTCTGTCACCCAGGTTGGAGTGCAGTGCCGTGATCTCGGCTGCAACCTCTGCATCCTAGGCTCAAGCAATCCTCCCATCTCAGCCTCCCAAGTAGCTGGGACCACAGGTGCATGACACCATGCCCAGCTAATTTTTTGTATTTTTGGTAGAGATGGGGTTTCGCCATGTTGCCCAAGCTGGTCTTGAACTCCTGAGCTCAGGTGATCTGCCTGCCTCAGCCTCCCAGAGTTCTGGGATTACGGGCATGAGCAACTGCGCTTGGTGATCATTTCAGTAGATGCAGAAAAATCATTTGACAAAATTCAGTTATCTCTTCATGATAAAAACTTCCAACAAATTAGGTATAAAAGGAGTGTACCTCAATACAATAGAGTCCATATAACAAACTCACAGCTAATATTGCACTGAACGGGGAAAATCTGAAAGCTTTTCCTCTAAGATCTGAAACCAGATAAGGATGCCCACTTTCACTACTTCTATTCAACATAATATTAGAAGTCTAGCCAGAGCAGTTAGGCAAGAGGGAGAAACTAAAGGTTCCTAGGTTGGAAAGGAAGAAGTTTTGAAGATGACATGATGTGATATACAGGCATACCTCATTTTATTGCACTTCACTTTATTATGTTCCACAGAGACTATGGTTTTTGTTTTTTGTTTTTTTTTTTTAACAAGTTAGAAGTTTATGGCAGCCCTGCATTGAGCAAGTGTATCTGTGCCATTTTCGCAAACGGTATGTGCTTACTTGTTAGCACTGTTTAGCAATGAGCTATTTTTTTTTCTATTTTTTTTTTTTTTTTGGAGACAGTCTTGCTTTGTCACCCAGGCTGGAGTAAAGTGGCGTGATCTCGGCTCACTGCAACCTCCGTCTCCGGGTTCAAGCGATTCTTCTGCCTTAGCCTCTTGAGTAGCTGGGACTAGAGGCACCTGCCACTACGCCCAGCTAACTTTTGTATTTTTAGTAGAGATGGGGTTTCGCCATGTTGGCCAGGCTGGTCTCAAACTCCTGGCCTCAGGTGATCCACCCACGTCATCCTCCCAAAGTGCTGGGATTGCAGGCATGAGCCACCGTGCCCAGCCGCAATAAACTATTTCTTAAGGTATTTACATTGTAAACAAATTTGTTCTTTTATTTTATTTTTTTTTGAGATGGAGTCTCACTCTGTTGCCAGGCTGGAGTGCAGTGGTGCGATCTTGGCTCACTGCAATCTCCGCCTCTTGGGTTCAAGTGATTCCCCTGCCTCAGCCTCCCAAGTAGCTGGGACTATAGGCAAGCACCACCATGCCTGGCTAATTTTTTGTATTTTAGTAGAGGTGGGGCTTCACCATGTTGGCCAGGATGGTCTCGATCTCCTGACCTCATGATCTTCCTGCCTCCGCCTCCCAAAGTGCGGGGATTACAGGCGTGAGCCACTGTGCCTGGCCAAATTTGTTCTTTTAAAAAAATTTTTTTAAAAACAGAGACAAGGTCTTACTATGTTGCCCAGGCTGGTGTCGAACTCCTGAGCTCAAGTGATTCTCCAGCCACGGCCTCCCAAAGTACTGGGATTACAGGCATAAGCCACCATGCCCAGCCAATGTAAACAACTTTTATATGCACTGGGAAACAAAAAATTCATGTGACTTGCTTCATTGCAATATTCATTTTATTGCAGTGGTTAGGAACTAAACCTGCAATATCTCTGAGGTATGCCTGTAGAGAAAACCCTACAGACTCTGCCAAAAAACTGTTAGGTCTAATAAACTTATTAATTTTGTATCCTGTAACTTTACTACACAAAATTGTTTCTATACACTAATACTGTTTGAAAAAGATAACAAGAAAATAATCCCATGTACAATAGCTGTAACAAAAACTTAAGAGTAAATTTAACTGAGGTGAAAGATGTCTATACTGAACACTATAAAGTGTTGATGGAAGAAACTGAAGACACAAAAGATATCTCATGCTCATGGATTAAAACAATGAATATTATTAAAATGTTCATACTACCCAAAGTGATCTACAGAATCAATGCACTCTCTCTGTCTTTTTTTTTTTTTTTTTTTTTTTTAAGACAGTCTCACTCTGTTGCCCAGGCTGGAGGGCAGTGGTGTTTGAGCTCGGCTCACTGCAACCGCCTCCTCCAGGGTTCAAGCAATTCTCCTGCCTCAGCCTCCCAAGTAGGATTGGAATTACAGTAGGATTGGAATTACCACACCCAGCTAATTTTTGTATTTTTAGTAGAGATGGGGCTTCTCCATGTTGGCCAGGCTGGTCTTGAACTCCTGACCTCAGGTGATCCACCTGCTTTGGCCTCCCAAAGTTCTGGGATTACAGGCATGAGCCACTATGCCCAGCCAGATTCAATGTACTCTCTATCAAAATACCAATGGCATTCTACATAGAAATAGAAAAAAATGACCGAGTGCACAGTGTCTCATGCCTGTAATCCTGGCACTTTGGGAGGCTCAGGTGGGAGGATCACGTGAGGTCAGGAGTTCAAGAACAGCCTGGTCAACATGGTGAAACCCCGTCTCTACTAACAATACAAAAATTAGCCAGGCATAGTGGCATGCGTGCCTGTAGTCCCAGCTACTCGGGAGGCTGAGGTGGGAGAATTGCTGGAACCCGGGAGGCGGAGGTTAGAGTGAGCCAAGGTGGCGCCACTGCACTCCAGCCTGGGTGACAAAGTGAGACCCTGTCTTGGGAAAAAAAAAAAGAAAAAAATGATACTATAATTTGTATGGAATCACAAAAAAACCTAAATAGCCAAAGCAATCTGAGCCAAAAAAAAAAAAGGGTGAAGGCATCACACTACCTGACTTTGTACTACAAAGTTGTGGTAACCAAAGCAGCATGATACTGGCATAATAACAGACACATAAACCAATGGAACAGAATAGAGAGCCCAGAAATAAATCCACACATTTATAGCCCACTGATTTTCAGCAAAGGTGCCAAGAACACACAATGGGGAAAAGGCAGTCTCTTCAATAAATGGTGCTCAGAAAACAATGTCCACATGCAAAAGAATGAAATTAGACTGTTTATCTCTCACTATATACAAAAACAACTCAAAATAGATTAAAGACTTAAATGTAAGACCCAAAACTGTGAAACTACTAGAAGAAAACATAAGGGAAAAGCTCCACGACATTGGTCTGGGCAATGATTTTTTTGGATATGACCTCAAAAGGACAGGCAGCAAACGCAAAAATAGAAAAATAGTATCACAGTGAACTAAAAAGCTTCTGTACAGCAAAGGAAACAGTAACAGAGTGAAGACAGACAACGGAGTGGGAGAAAATATTTGCACGCTATGCAAGTGATTATGAAGAGGCATCTTCTGGGGTAAATACCCAGGGTTCGTCGTCTTGCACCAGGAGGAATAAGGACATGGACACATGTGGGTGGGTTAAGGAGTGCAAGGCTTAATAGGTAGAAGAAAGGAGAGAGGAGAGCAGCTCTGTGTGACAGGAAACAGGCCTCCGAAAAGGAAAAGTAGGCCTGTAGCAGACAGCAGGCAATTTTACAGGCAGGCTTGAGGAGGCGGTGTCTGATTTATGTAGGGCCCAGATTGGCTAGACCAGGTGTGACGTCTACATGATGCCAGGCGAAGGCTGGTTGCCCTACCCTGATCTTATTATGCAAATAGACTTTCCACTTGTCCGCCATCTTGTCCGCTCCTTACTGCACAAGTGGCTGGCAAAGAGAAGATGGAGCCGCCATTTTGAACATGCCTATTCCTTAGGTAGCTTTTTCCTATTGGCACAACTGCTGGCATTTGCATGTGCAAGCTTCTAGCTTGCTTGTCTGTGTCTGCAGTTCAGTTTTACAGGTTGCTGTTTGTTAGAAAAGAAAATGATTTGGGGGCAGCTGTTCATGAAAAGCAAAACCTTACCGAGGACTTTCTTACCCTAAATAATTTCTTTTTAACTCCTGTATCAATAAGGGGTTAATATGCTAAATATATAAGGAAATCAAATGACTCATTAGCAAGAAAATAACCTGATTATTCAGGTCTTTTGCACATTTAAAAAAATTTTTATTTCAATAGTTTTTGGGGGTACAGATGGTTTTTGGTTACAGGGATAAGTTTTTTGTTTTGTTTTGTTTTGTTTTTTTGAGAGTGAGTCTCACTCTGTTGTCTAGGCTGGAACGCAGTGGCGTGATTTCGGCTCACTGCAGCCTCCGCCTCCCCCGTTCAAATGAACCCAGTCTCAGACTCCTGAGTAGCTGGGATTACAGGCACTCGCCACCACGCCCAGCTAATTTTTGTATTTTTAGTAGAGACGGGGTTTCACCATGTTGGCCAGACTGGTCTCAAACTCCTGACCTCAGGTGATCCACCCACCTTGGCCTCCCAAAGTGCTGGGATTACAGGCGTGAGCCACCGTGCCCGGCCATTTTTTAAGACATTTCTCAAGAGATGATGTACAAATGACCAATAGATGCATGAGAAAATGTTCAACTTCACTAATCATCAGAGAACTGTAAATTAAAACCACAGTAGTGAGATATCGTCTCACTCCTGATAGAATGGCTGTTATCAAAAAGACGAAAGATAACAAATGTTGGGTAGGATGTGAAGAAAAGAGCCCTTGCATACTGTTGGTGGGAATGTAAATTGGTACAGCAGTTATAAAAAGTATGGCGTTTCCTCAAATTATTAACAGTAGAGCTACTATATGATCCAGCAATCCCACTATTGGGCATATATCCAAAGGAAATGAAATCAGTATGTCAAAGAGACATCTGTACCTCCGTGTCTATTGCAGCACTATTCACAATAGCCAAGATACAGAATCAAACTAAATGCCCATAAGTGGATGAATGGATAAAGAAAATGCGTATATACACAATAGAATACTATTCAACTGTAAAAAGGATGAAATCTTGTCATTTGTGGCAACATGGATGAACATGGAGAACATTATGTCAAGTGAAATAAACCAGGCACGGAAGAACAAATGCCATATGATTTCACTCATGTGGAATCTTAAAAAGCTTATTTCATAGCAGTAGAGCATAGAATGGTGGTTACTAGAGGCTAGGGTAGTTGCAGGGAGAGAGTGGTAGGGAGATGTTGGTCAAAAGATAGAATTTCAGTTAGCTAGGAGGAATACCGTTCAAGAGATTTATTGTAGGCTGGGCACGGTGGCTTACACCTGTAATCCCAGCACTTTGGGAGGCCGAGGTGGGTGGATCACGAGGTCAAGAGTTTGAGACCAGCCTGACCAACATGGTGAACCCTCATCTCTATTAAAGATACAAAAAATTAGCCGAGTGTGGTGGTGTGCGCCTGTAATCCCAGCTACTTGGGAGGCTGAGGCAGGGGAACCACTTGAACCCAGGAGGTGGAGGTTGCAGTCAGCTGAGATCGCACCATTGCACTCCAGCCTGGGCAACAAGAGCAAAACTCCGTCTCAAAAAAAAAAAAAAAATGTATTGTATACCATGGTGACTATAGTTAATGAAGAAATACAGGCTAATTCGAAGGTAGTGAGTTATCGCAATTGGTTGTTCAGTCAGTTACAGATTGAACTTTTTGTTCTACTCTTTCCTTGCTTCTTACTGCTGCATTTGACTAGTCTTTTAAAAAAAAAAAAAAAAAAGAAAGAAAGAAAAATACTTAGTGGATATTCAGTGTTTCCACCACAAAAATGAAAAATGATAACTATGTGAGGTAGTTATTTGATCCTTTGATCATTCCACAATGAATATATACTTAAAACACTATGTTGTACGTGATAAATACATACAGTTTTCTCTGTCAGTTTGAAACACATAGAAATTTAAAAATAGACAATGTGAAACACAAAGCCATCCATGTGGGTAATTTTAAATTTTTTAGTAGCCAAATTAAAGAACCAACTCAAGAGATAGGTGAAATTAATGTTTCTTACTTAACCTAATATCTGGTATGGACTGAATTTGTGTTCCTCCCCCTCGCCAAATTCATATGTTGAAACCCTCACTCCCAATGTGATAGTTTTAGGAGATGGGTCTTTAGGGAGATGATTAGGATTAGGTGAGGTCATGAGGGTAGAGCCCTCATGAATGGAAATGGTGACCTTATAAAAGTCACGAGGGAATTTGATTCCTCTCTCTGCCCTCTGCCATGTGAAGACATGACTTCTGGGCAGTGTGCAACCCAGAAGAGGGTCCTCACCAGAACCCAACCACGCTGACACCCTGATCTTGGACTTCCGGTTTCCAGAACTGTGAGAAATAACTGTGTGTTGTTTACGAACTAGTCAGTTTCTGATATGTTGTTAGCAGCCCAAACTAAGGCAATATCCAAGATATTATTCCAACATGCAATCAATATAAAAATTAACGACTTTTTTTACATCAAGTCTTTGAAATGCAGCATATATTTTTTCTATTTTTTTTCTTTTAATGGCTGCCCCCTCACCTGCAGATTGAGGGGACCCTTATTTTGAGGGCTATTCAGACATTACCTTCAAGCAGAGTTTTAAATTGTTCCTATTGTGGTGAAATATGCATAACATAAAATTTACCATCTTGACTTTTAAATGTATCACACTTGATCTTAGCCAAAAGGCCGGGAAGCAATAGACTTTTAAATGTATCAGTGGTATTAAGTACATTCGTAATGTTGTGTAACCATCACCATTCATCTCCAGAACTCTTCATTTTATAACCTGAAACTCCATACCCATTAAATAACAACTCTTCACTCTCCCTTCCCTCATCCCCTGGCAACCACCATTCTGCTTTCAATGTGGTGTATATTTTATCCTTACATCACATCTCAGTGAGGGCCAGCAATGCTCAATAGCTGCATGTGGCTAGTGGCTACTGTGTTGGACAACATGGGTCTAGAAGATTCACAGGTTTAGGGATGATATAATTAGTTTGTCTTGAATAGGCTTCTATTATAGTTTTGATCAACATCACTGGAAGGGCAGAGATCATGTAATCTGGGGTTTGGAGCTGACCACACTATATCTGTTTTCTTGGCCACAGGTTAAGTGGAGAGCATGCTCATAAGCATATGATCCTAACTCCTCTTTCCCCACCAGGGGCATGCAGTCAGGGACCCATTAGCAGACAACTGCCCATAACGGTAAAGGAAGGGAACCGGGGACAGAAGTGTAAGAAAATTTCAGAATGTTTAGTGGGAAAAAAGGGAAACATCTACTTTTATGACCAGAAACGCTCAAAGGAAACTCAAAAGGGATGGGAAGCTCTAAAGAATAAGAATCAGACAACACAATCATGAATGACTCCAATGAAGAAAAGTGAGAAGTAGCTCATGGAATTTATATGATGACTAAAGCCTATTTGACCATTTTGGTTCTAAAATGATAAATACAGAAGAGTACTGCATTAGTCTTCTAGGGCTACTGTAACATAGTACCACAGACTGGGTGGTTTAAACAAAGATTTATTTTCTTACCATTCTGGAGGCTGGAAATCCAATATCCAGGGTCTGGATAATTTGGTTTCTGGCGAGGGCTCTCTTCTTGGCTTGCAGACAGCAGCCTTCTTGCTGTTTCCACACTTGACCTCTTTATGCATGCATTGTAGGAGAGAATGTGAGCAAGTTCTCTGCTCTTTTTTTAAAAAAAATTATTTTTATATTTTGTAGTGACGTCTCAGTATGTTGCCCAGGCTGATCTCAAACTCCCAGATTTAAGCAATTCACTGGTCTCAGCTTCCCAAAGTGTTGGGGTTACAGGTATGAGTTGCTGTGTCCTGCCTGCTGTCGCTTTTTATAAGGGCACTACTTCTGTCAGACCAGCACCCAACTCTTATGACCTCATCTAACCTCCCAGAGGCCCCATCTCCAAATGCCTTCACATTGTGGGGGTTAGGCTTTTAACAGAAGAATTTTGTGGGGCAAAGATTTAGTCCCTAATAAGCATACAGATGAATAGCATGAACCCATATGAGTATTAGGAAGCAAATTATGATCCTCAAGGAACTAAGGCTTGCAAAAATTACAAAGGAAAACATAAAAGGCTTCTTCCATTACATTCAGTACAAGGAGAGGAAAAAAATAGATTAAAAAAATTAATGACCTTGTAAGCCTTGGAAAGCTCTGGAAACCTGACAACTTGGGCAGAAAATCCACGTTTAATACGTTCGCAATAACATAATACCATCTCGTCACAGGGTTCCAGGGTTCGGAGATGGAAGGCCAAGTCCTCCTGTCTTTCTGAATTAGTTGCTGTATAAAATTAATTCACTTTATCTGTTAACTGAGCAGTTAAAGTAGCATGTGTATTTTTACAAACCCCTGTCCAAGGGGCCCTTGGCTTGGTTCATTGTTTGGCATTGTATCTATCTGGCTCATGCCAGAAACATGGCAGTCATTCTTGACCTTCCTTTTCCCCTTTCCTCCCAAATTGAATCCATCCCCCAAGCATCTGAAATCTGTCCATTTTTTTCCTCCATCTCTTCTGTCAGCTGGATGCTCATTGAGTTTGATGACACTACTACTTTTATAGCTTAAATTTCTATTTTCAAGTCTTATTGAAAGGAAATATGCAATTTAAGAATTTTAACCTTTACTATCTGCAGTACTTCCTGCAAATGCTTTCTAAAAGCTTTCTAATTTTAAACTATTTCTAGTATGTGTCCTGTAAAACTCTATTTTTTTCATATCCATTATTGGCTTCTGCAGATCCACATCTTCATTTGAATATTGAGGAATCAAACCAAGAGTTTATGGTGAAAAGTGAAGAACTCTACGACTCCCTCATGAATTGCCACTGGCAGCCTCTGGACACAGTTCACTCCGAAATCCCAGATGAGACCCCGAAGTGAAGCAAGGTGTTCATTAAACTCCGCAATTATCATACTAATTGTGTCGTCTTTTGTTTTGGGAAAAAAGTAGTTCTCCCAGGAAGGCACTGGATTCTGTATATAAAAACCAACTTCCAGGGCTTACATGTGATTGACATGAGAGAATATTAACGCAAATAAACTTTACCAGCACATGTGTTCCTGGAAGTGTTACATTAAGTAAGGGCCAGAAGAGCTCACGTGATGATCATGGTAGAACAAGCTGTGCCATAAAACCCTTGGAAATAGGTTTAATATGAGGTGAGCTTGAGCTGAACTGATTGTGGCATTGGCTACTCTGATAGGATTTGCTGCTTTCTCTAACTTCAAACTCTCATGGAGAGAAATTGTATCCACAGACAATGCATGGTTTCTTGCTTGTGTCTTGTCTAGAGAATGTTAGTTAGAACTGGATGTTTGATCTCCATTTCCTGGCCCCATAAGAGAGCTAGATGTGGCAGTAGAGACTCAATTGAACAGAAAGATTCCTAAGCAGGGAAAAAAATTTGCTTGATCCAAACAGCATGTCAACTTTCTAAGATAGAGGAATTAGGCCCTCATAAAAGCCAGCCAATGTGTATATTGACTGTGCTCCTTAAAAAATGTCTTTTTTTTTTTGTCCCGAAGATGATCATTGTGTCCTGTTTTATTGCTTTGCTATGGATGGATACTTTAATGACCCCTGGGACTGATGTGAGTTGACTGCTAGAAGACTGATTGCTTAGAAACAAGTCGATTAGACTGTGGGCAAGGGCAGTCTGACATCTCTTTTGCTCTGAAGGTGCTTGACAGATGCTAATCCTTGCGCTAAACAGGTTCAAAGACCGAATCCTACATGGAGAGCCAGGCGGGCTGCAGCCATTGTAAAGGAGCTTCCTCTGCCCCATGGTTTCTCAGCCTTGGCACTATTGCCATTTGGGGCTGGACACTTCTTTGCTGTGGGAGACTGTCTTGCACGTTGTCCTGACCTCTACTGCTAGATGCCAGTAGCACCCTGCACTCCAGTTGTGACAACCGAAATGTCTCTAGACATTGTCAAATGTCCCCTACAGGCAAAATCCCCACCACCACCACCCAATTGAAAACCACTGGAATAAGGCAATGTTTTCAAACTCTAGGGTGTATCAGAATCTCCTAGAAGACTTTCTGAAACACAGATTCTTGGGCACCATCCTGAGTTTGATTCAATAGGTTTGGGGTGGGACCTGACAATTTTCAGTTCTCTAAAAAGTTTATGGATAACAACACTCTGAAAACCAGTGGCACAGGGATATTCTCAACTAGCTCAACTTAGTTCTACCTAGAACAGAGGGTGAAGTTCTACTTTCACACTCACCTCCTTAATACAAGGTGTGCAAGTCCCTACTTTCCTACAGGGCCCTGGCTTGATCAAGTATCCATCATCCTCCTCTAGCCATATGTTTTGGGGACCAGCACTATATTCAGCTCCAGGGAATGGCTCTTGTAGCATCTGAGCCATGTGTAGTGATCCCATTCCTCTTGCCAGTGATTGATAAGAGACATATGATAAAATTCTGGCTAACGAGATGTGAGGTGATGTTTTATCTCATTTTTAAAAGGAACAAAAAAGAGACAGCTACAGTCTCATACTGAGCATTAGGTTTAGATGTGATGCCTGGTGCTGTGGCAGACATACTGTGACTCTTAGGGGAACAATCTTAGGGTAGTGCTCATGCACCAGGGATGGCAGTGAAGGAAGATGGAAGGAACCTGGATCCATGATAATGGCATTGAAGCTGTTGAATTAGCCAACCCTGGATTCTCTCATCTGGACTTATGTTTAATCCACTCTGAATTTTTGTTATTTGTAGCAAAAGTATCCTGACTCTAGCATGGATAGATACAGATAGCATGTGCAAAGGGCTTGATATCCTTGAACCAAAACGAGGTCTGTCAGAGTGTCTAGAGCTGTGTTGTCTGCTATGGTAGCCACTAGCCACATATGGCTATTGAAATTTTATTTAAGCAAAATTAAAACTTTGCTTTTCCTTTTGTACTAGGTATGTTTCAAGTGTTCAGTAGCCACATGTCAGTAGGGGCTACTATATTGTGTAGCGCTGGTCTTATAGGTAAGGGGAAGAGGAACCTGAGATTAGATTAGGCGGATCTCTCAATTTTTCTTTAAACTCTTTTTCTAATTGTTCCCCTTCCATAAGATTTTAATTTCATAGGTATTATATATGCTCTATCTATACCTGTTCTTTATACGTTGGAAAAAGAAAGATTTACTTTATCCCCTCTCTTCCCCTCCAGAACCAATATTCACCTCCCTGGAGGTTGATATTGTCCCCTGTTGCAGATACATGGCTCGTGTGGTAATCGTGAGTAAGCTCAGGCAGGGATTTTAGGTCACTGTAAAGAATTTGGATTTTATTAAAATTGTATTTAGGAGGCAATGAACTAATTTTAAGGATGGGATTGGCATGGTCAGTTTTGCCTTTAGAAAGTGATTCCAAAGGCAGAGGGGCCAAGATAGCCTATTAGAAGCAGCTGCAGTACTCATGGAGAGGAATGAAAGTGGGGAGTGAATTTAGCACCTTCAACTGAAATATCCAGGTTCTTGCATTGGGGCTGACTAGGCAAACAACTTGACCCGAAGAGAACAAAGAAAAGAAGGGTGGGGTGATGGCCCAACTGGGAACAGCATGGAGCCAAAGGAACCCCTGCCCCTAGCCAAGGAAAGTGGTGAGTGATTGTGCAAGCCCACTCAGGAAACCACAATTCCCCCATGGATCTTTGCAACCTGCAGATCAGGAGATCCCTTTGTGAGCCTGTGCCACCAGGGCCTTGAGTCCGATACACAAAGCTACACGCAGTCTTGGCAGAGCAGCTTCTCAGACACAAAGAGACCCAGGAGTTTTACATTCTCTGACCCTCGGATCCCTGGCAAGGTAGGATATCCATCTGTAAATAATCCTGGGAAGGGGGCTGAATCCAGGGAGCCAAGCAGCGTTGTTCTGTGGGCCCCACATCCATGGCACCTCACAGATTAAGACACACTGGCTTAGAATTCCAGCCAGCCAATGGCAACAGTCTGCCAGAGATGGGACTGAGTTCCTAAGGGGAGCATTGGCTGCCATCTCTGTGGTTTGGTAGACTCAGCTGTTCCAGCCTGTCAGCTTTGGAGAATACAAACAGTCTAGACAAGGAAGGGTTCTCCCTAGTGAAGCACACCTGCTCTACAAAAAGCAGCCAGAGTGCTTCTATAAGTGCGTCCCTGATCCCATTCCTCCTCACTGGGTAATAAGGCCCCCCAATAGGGGTTTCCAGCCATCTCCTACAGGTGCATTTGGGCCGGCAACAGGTCAGTTACCCCCCAGGACAAAGCTTCTATAGGAAGGAGCAGGCTGTCATCTTTGCTGTTTTGCAGTCTTCACTGGTGATACCTCCAGGTATGGGAAAAACTGAGGCAACTAAGGGTCTGGAGTGGACCCCCAGCAAACCGCAGAAGCCCTATGGAAGAATCTCCTGACTGTTAAAACAACATCAACAAAAACCCCACAAAAACCCCATTCAAAGGTCAGCAACTTCAAAGATCAGCGGTAGAAAAACCCACAAAGATGGGAGAGAATCAATGCAAAAATGCTGAAAACTCAAAAAACCAGAGTGCCTCATCTCCTCCAAATGACTACAACACCTCTCCAGCAAGGGCACAGAACTGGGCTGAGACTGAGATGGCTGAATTGACAGAAGTAGGCTTCAGAAGGTGGGTAATATTGAACTTCACTGAGCTAAAGGAGCATGCTGTAACTCAATGCAAAGAAGCTAGGAATCTAAACAATACAGGAGCTGATAACTAGAATAGCCAGTTTAGAGAGGAACATAACCAACCTGATGGAGCTGAGGGTTCAGTTCAACAACAAGAGCTAATTATCCTAAATATATATTCACCCAATACAGGAGCACCTAGATTAATAAAGCAAGTTCTTGGAGACCTACGAAGAGACTTGGACTCCCACACAATAATAGTGGGAGACTTCAACACCCCATTGATAATATTAGATAATTGATACAGAAAATAAAGATATTCAGGACCTGAACTCAGCTCTGGATCAAGTGGACCTGGGAGATAACTACAGAACTCTCCACCCCAAAACAACAGAATTTACATTCTTCTCATCACCACGCAGCACTTACTCTAAAATTGACCACATAATTAGAAGTAAAACACTCCTCAGCAAATGAAAAAGAACTGAAATCATAACAGTCTCTCTGACCATAGTGCTATCAAATTAGAACTCAAGATTAAGAATTTCCACTCAAAACCACACAACTACATGGAAATTGAACAATCTGCTTCTGAACAACTATTGGGTAAATAATGAAATTAAGACAGAAATCAAGAAGTTCTTTGAAACTAAGGAGAACAAAGAGAAAATGTACCAGAATCCCTGGGACACAGCTAAAGCAGTATTAAGAGAGAAATTTATAGCACTAAATGACCACATCAAAAAGCTAGAAACATCTCAAGTTAACAATCTAACATCTCAACTAAAAGAACTAGAGAACCAACAGCAAGCAAACCCCAAAGGTAGCAGAAAACAAGAAATAACCAAGATCAGAGCTGAACTGAAGTAGATAGAAACATGAAAAACCCTTCAAAAATCAACAAATCCAGGGGTTGGTTTTTTGAAAAAATAGACTGTTAGCTGGACTAATAAAGAATAAAAGAAGAATGAAATAAAGTCAGAAATAATAAGGGGGATATCACCACTGACCCCACAGAAATACAATCATCAGAGAATATTATAAATGCCTCTATGCATATATACTAGAAAACCTAGAAGAAATGGATAAATTACTGGACACATACACCCTCCCAAGACCAAACCAGGAAGAAATTGAATCCCTGAATAGAACAATAATTAGTTTTGAAATTGAAGCAGCAATTAATAATAGCCTACCAACCAACCAAAAGCAAAAAAAAAGCCCAGGATCAAATGGATTCACAGCTGAATTCTCCCAGAGGTACAAAGAAGAGCTGGTATCATTTCTACTGAAATTATTTCCAAAAATTGAAAAGGAGGGACAGGGACTCCTCCCTAACTCATTCCATGAGGCTAGCATCCTGATACCAAAACGTGGCAGAGATACAACAAAAAAAGAAAACTTCAGGCCAATATCCTTGATGAACATTGATGCAAATATCCTCAATAAAATACTAGCAAACCAATTCCAGCAGCACATCAAAAAACTTATCCATGACAATCAAATTGGTTTCATCCCTGGGATGCAAGGTTGCTTCAACATACACAAATCAATTAATGTGATTCATCACATAAACAGAACTAAAGATGAAAACCACAGGATTATCTCAATAGATACAAAAAAGGCTTTTGATAAAATTCAACATCCC